>NC_000013.11:76741439-76892954 GCF_000001405.40 Homo sapiens
TGTGATGAATACATGCCACTTAATGGTATGCTGATCATGAAACAAGCAAAGATCTATGACGGTGAACTAGAAATTGAAGGAAATTGTGACTATTCAACAGGCTGGTTGCAAAAATTTAAGAAAATATACAGCATTAAATTTTTAGACACTTGTGATGATAAATCATCTGCTGGTCATGAAGCAGAGAAGAAATTCATTGATGAGTTTGTCAAGGTCATTCCTGATGGAAATCTGACACAAGAACAAGTTTATAATGCCAACAAACATCAGTGTTTTGGTGTTCTTGCCCTAGAAATATATTCACTACAACTAATGACATAACCCCAACAGGAATTAAGGATGTCAAGGACAGAATAACTGTGCTGGGACGTGCTAATGCAGCAGGCATGCATAAATGTAAACTTGCTGTGATTGGCAAAAGCTTGAGTCTTTGCTGCTTTCAGGAAGTGAATTTCTTGTTATGACATAGCTAACAAAAAAGCATGGATCACCAGGGACATCTTTTCTTATTGGTTTCACAGATATTTTATACCAGTGGCTCATGCTCACTGCAGGAGAGCTGGACTGGATGAGAGCTGCAACCTTTTGTTATTCCTTGACGACTGTTCTACTCATCCTCCACCTGAACTTTTCATCAAAAATATTTTTATGCCATGTACTTTTCCCCAGTGTGACTTCATTAATTCAGCCATGTGATCAGGGTATCCTTAGATGAGTGAAGAGTAAATATAAAAACACTTTATAGAACAGCATGCTAGCCGCAGTGTTCAGAGGCATGGATGTGGAAGGTTTTCAAAAGGAGCTGTCATAAAAGATGCCGTATATGCTGTTGCCAGTGCCTGAAACACAATGACTAAAGACATGGTTGTGCATGCCTAGCAAAGCCTCTGGCCTGCAACTATGTTTAGTGATGATGAACAAGGTGGTGACTTTGAAGGATGCTGAATGTCAAGTGAGAAAAAAAATGATGTCTGACCTCCTTACATATGCAAAATCATACCTTCAGTCTGCCAGTAAGATGGAAGTAGATATCAAAGAAGTTTTTTTTAACATCAATGAGACTCCACTTGTTCTATCTTGACTTGAAATAGCCAGAATGGTTCTCAATCAAGGTGATTGTGAAAATAGCGATAAGAAGATGACATGGTTAACACTGTAGAAAAAGTGCCTATAGAAAACATGGTGAAAATGGGTGATGGGCTTATTGAAGGACATGACGAATCCATAACAGAACAAGAAATCATGTCAATTTATAAAATCAGAGACTTCTAAGACAAAAACCATTTATTAATGAAGTAGGCAATTCTGGAAGGAACATTTTTAAAAGCCATCCAACAGAATGCTTCCTTATCCCTACAGGACCCACTACTTGGTCCCTCAACTGCTTTTGCTATTTCTTCTCACCTGAAAAAAAAATACAGTGGACAATAATCTTTTAATCAAAACATAGCACCACAGGTGGAAACTGAAAGCCTGCCATTGTTTGTTGTTGCTGTTGTTTATTCTGGTGATGGCACTGTGCTGCTTAGTTACCCTAAACACATTAATACACCTATATTAATGGTAGGTTATATTTTTCACTGGCAAATACTTATGTGTGCATAAGAAAATTATTGCTTATTGGTAGCATATAAAGTCAGGAATGATGGTGATGCCAGACAACAACAGACCGTCCACATGGGTGGCTGACATAGTGACACATTTGCTTTCTGATGGCTCAATGTAATCAAACTTTGTGTCATGCAAAATATTATTTAAAATGTGGTATAAAATATACCTTCAGCCTATGTGTATAAGATATATATGAAACATAAATACATTCCATGTTTATACTTGGGTCCTATCCTCAAGATATCTCATTATGTATAGGCAAATATTCCAAAATCTAGGATCCAAAACACTTCTGGTCTCAAGTATTTTGGATAATGGATACTCAATCTGTACAAACCACTCACCTGTCACCTATAAGACTTAAAAGCCAAAGGGACATGAGCTACCATAACCCACTGAAGCCTATACACAACCCACAGGGCATCATAGCCTGAGTGAACTAGGGACTTAAGGCTGCCCTGGAAGTGGCAGCTGCACTACAAATCCCCATAGCTGCCCACAGTTCCAGGTGAAGTTTCCTCCAGTAGCCCCAAGAACCCAAGCTGAAGTTTCCACACAGGATCCAGTAGGGTTCTGTATTAGTCATGGCTCTCCAGAAAGACAAAACCAATTGGATGTATGACATAGCTAGAGATTTCTTTTAAGGAACTGGCTGATGTGATTGTGAGGGCTGGCAAGTCCAAATTTTGTAGAGCAAGCTGGCAGGCTGGAAATTTTAGCAGGAGTCAATGTTGCAGCCTTGAGTCTGAAGATAGTCAAGAGGCAGAATTCCCTTCTCTTGGAGAGACCTTAGTCTTTTCTCTGAAGGCTTTCGATGGGTTGGATGAGACCCGTCCATATCGTGGAGGTAATCTGCTTTACTCAAAGTCTACTGATTTAAATGATAATCACATCTACAAAACACCTTTATAGAATGAATTAATGGCATATGCAGCAACCTGGATGGGATTGGAGACTATTATTCTAAGTGAAGTAACTCAGGAATGGAAAACCAAATATCATATGTTCTCACCCATAAGTGGGAGCTAAGCTATGAGGATGCAAAGGCATAAGAGTGACACAGTGGACTTTGGGGACTCAGGGGAAAGGGTGGGAAGGGGGTGAGGAATAAAAGACTACAAATCAGGTTCAGTGTACACTGCTTGGGCAATGGGTGCACTCAAATCTCACAAATCACCACTAAAGAACTTATTCATGTAACCAAATGCCACCTGTTTCCCCAAAAAAACTATGGAAACTTTAAAAAATAAATAAATAAAACTATCTTTATGGAAACATCTAGATTCATGTCTAATCAAGCAAACTAGGCACCATAGCCTAGCCAAGCTGACTCATAAAATTCCCCATTGTAGGTCCTAAGAAGCCTAAATTACCCCCACGATGCTCCAAATACTATCCCCTGTTCTCCAGGTAACCAGGCCTGGGAGCTGATTCATCCTCCATAAGTACAAAAATCACCTCCCATGGCTCCAGCCCAAACATCAGCGGAAAATCACAAAGCCCCAGATCTTCTGAGTAACCCCAGATCCCAAGGGCAGGTCTCTCCTCTCTAGAGCACAACACTCCATCTACACATGAATAGTGGGGTGCCCATCTACACCCTTGCATAGATCATAACAGAAGCCACTCACCTCACCACTGCCCCTAGAGAGAACGTTGAACTAAACTAACCATATGGTCATAAAATTCACATTCACTTCATCACACACATTTAGGCTGTGTGCCTTGAACATTCAAACAAGACACACTCACACATTCATAGATCACCCAGAGATCTCTAGATTGGTATCATTTTACTTAAAAGTTGGGCAATTTTGGCCGGGCATGGTGGCCTATGCCTGTAATCCCAGCACTTTGGGAGGCCCAGGCAGGTGGGTCACCTGAGGTTGGGAGTTCGAGACCAACCTGACCAACATGGAGAAACCCTGTCTCTACTAAAAATACAAAATTAGCCGGGTGTGGTGCTGCATGCCTGTAATCCCAGCTACCCGGGAGGCTGAGGCAGGAGAATTGCTTGAACCTGAGAGGTGGGGGTTGTGGTGAGCTGAGATCGCGCCATTGTACTTCAGCCTGGGCAACAAGAACGAAACTCCATCTCAAAAAAAAAAAAAAAAAAACTTGGGCAATTTTAGTACTTCAACATTTATACTTACTAGGAAATGTGTTTATTTAATCTCTAGGCTCACTCTTAGCTTCAGAAATAAAGCCTTCCTTTACTGTTTTTTGATAACAGAAATTATAGCTGTAAGAAAATACAGATATCAGAAGATACATTCCAGGCTCAGAAGCAATGTGAAATGGGTCCCTAAAACCACAAGTTAAGTCAGGAGGCAGAAAATACCAAAAATACAGCAAGAGGAGAAGCACAGAAAGCACTCACTTCCCTAAAATTTGCATCACTTATACACAGAGACTTCCTGAAGAGCTCTGGAGGCTAAGGGAGATGAATGTCATTCAGCCGGTTTAAAAACAACATACAAACAACAGCATCACCACAAGGGATTAAATTTTCCAAATACTTATTCATTTTCTAGCAAGACAATTGCATGCAACTATAACATCATAAAATGAGTTATTGCAGATCCCAGTAGCACTATAGAAATTAAATTAGTTCCTCTATTCTTAGTACAATTGATTATTCAAATTGTGACCGAGAGCTGCAGACAGTGCCCAAGGAATTTTGCATTAAACAGGGAAGTGGCCACCATTTCTGCTTCATGCTGGTCTGTTCCCTCCCCTAAGAGGGAAGCTGATCAGCAAGAACAAGCTGAATTTATATGCCTTGTTATCATCATTGGTAATTAGCATTTACTGAGCATCAAGGGTACACTAAGTTCCAAGCAGAACTTAATGCTGCCCAGTGGGTTGTTGGTCTAATTTCAGCCCCAGCACCTCAACAAAGACCAACCACCAAAAACCCAAAGCAAGAGGGTTCAGACTTGCCTTATCAGACCGAGAGTTGCTTGATTACACAACAGGAAAAAGAAGTGGCCAGAAAAGAACTTGAAAGAGGAAAGCAGATCTTTTGAAATGTGTCATTTCTTTCCTTCACCCATTGACCTCTTTTGTAGGACTTTTGCAAAGGAGGGGATCATTATTTACAGAAATGGTTCACAGCATGGTAGAGAAAAGACCCAAAAATTATTAAAGATTACTTGTTGAATAGAGGAGGTTTTGATTTCTGATGAAAGTAAAAGTTCTGGCCAGGCACGTTGGTTCACGCCTGTAATCCCAGCACTTTGGGAGGCTGAGGCAAGTGGATTGCTTGAAGCCAGGAGTTCGAGACCAGCCTGGCCAACATGGTGAAACCCCCTCTCTATACTTAAAAAAAAAAATACAAAAATTAGCCGGGCATGGTGGCACGGACCTGTAGTCCCAACTACTTGGGAGGCTGAGACAGGAGAATCACTTGTACCCAGGAGGCAGAGGTTGCAGTGAGCCGAGATCCCATCACTACACTCCAGCCTAGGTGACAGAGTGAGGCTCTGTCTCAAAGAAAAAAAAAAAAAAGTAAATAGTCTTCAACATTCAAGTTGTAGAGTGCAGAGTCCCTGATAAAACCAAAAACAGCAATAGCCCCATATTTCCATCACATTTCAAATGTAATCATTGCCACATATTAAATTTGAAATGTGAAGAAAATTTCCTTGTAACAAATGGAAAACCTAATTCCTGCATTACAGTTGGTCATTTTGGTCTGAGTCAAATTCCTGTTGTACTAGTCAGGTGACCTTAAACTTAAACACTTGTGTGTCTCAGTCTTCTCATCTCTAAAATAGGGATAGCAATGAAATCAACCTCAAAAGGTTGTTGTGAGGATTAAGTGAAATAACCCATATAAAACTGCTTGACATAGCTTAGCACATAATAGGTGTTCAATAAATGTTAATCGTAATTATAATGTGAGCTCTTTGCAAACTGTCAGGTATGACACAAATGCAGGTTATTACATTGCCCTTGTACAACATGAATCATTAAAAAATCAGATCATAACTACTTCCAAATACCTTTTTTTTTTTTTGGATAGAGAGTCTCGCTCTGTCGCCCGGGCTGGAATGCAGTGGTGCGATCTCAGCTCACTGCAACATCTGCCTCCTGGTTCAAGCGATTCTCCAGTCTCAGCCTCCCCAGTAGCTGGGATTACAGGTGTGTACCACCATGCCCAGCTAATTTTTCGTATTTTAGTAGAGACACAGTTTCACCATGTTGCCCAGGCTGGTCTCGAACTCCTGAGCTCAGGCAATCCACCCGTCTCGGCCTCCCAAAATGCTAGGATTACAGGCGTGAGCCACTGCACCCGGCCCAAATAACATTTTTTATGTAAGTAGACCCACATGACAAAACAAGGCACGTCATGGTGAGTTTCCTCTTGACTAGAGGAAGCTGAAGTGAACAGAAGATGCTCTTCAGAGCTGGGAGGAAGATGATGGAAGAGGTGCAGGTCTCAAAGACATGGAATCAACCCAGATGCCCATCAATGGAGGATGCTTTTGTCTTAATAAGGGACTCTACAACTTAAATGATGAAGAACTTACCTTCTATCCTCTTTTCCTCCTCTACTCACACACTGAAATGGAACTATGGTTAAGACTACGTGGATTCAAATGCTGCCTGACTTTGAGAAGTTTACCTCACCTCACTGTGCCTAATTTCCTCATCTGTAAAATGCAGACAATGGAAATGGTATATAGACACCATGAAATATATGCAGCCATAAAAAAGAATGAAATTGTGTCCTCTGCAGCAACATGGATGCAGCCAGAGGCAATAATCCTAAGTGAATTAACACAGAAACAGAAAACCAAATATCACATGTTCTCACTTATAAGTGGGAGCTAAACATTGAGCACACATGGACATAAACATGGGAACAATAGACACTGCAGACTGTTAGAGGGGAGAGGGAGGGAGGGAGATGCAAGTTGAAAAACTACATATCAGATATTATGCTCACTAGCCAGGTGACAAGACCCTTACTCAAACCTCAGAATAAAGCAATATTCTCACGTAACAAACCAGCACACTTATCCCTGTATCTAAAATGAAAGCTGAAATTTAAAAAATAAGTTTTAAAACAGGTACACATTTCAAACTCTCTACATTTAAACTAAACTGAAGAATCTTATTCCCTGGAATGTCATTTCTGTTTCTGGTACAGTCACAATTGTCATCTTGCAATGTATATTAACCCTTAAAATGTTTTCTGAGAGTCAATTTATAGGATTGTTCTGCATTAGATATTTGGAAACTTCCTATGAAATTTCAAAAACAATGTAATCCCCAACCTCCACCTTTCTATCTCCTTTCTCCCTATTCACACACTCAAATAGACTACATGGATTCAAATGCTGCGTGACTTTGAGAAGGTTACGTCACCTTTCTGTGCCTAATCTGTGCATTATCTGTAAAATGCAGATAATGGAAATCTTTATATCAAAAGTTTGTTGTGTGAATTAAATGTGATATATGGAAAATGAATAAGAGATCAGAATCACCATTATCACCATCTTCATCATCATCATCTTCATTATCATTGTTACTACACATATTCCTCACTCCTCTAAGATTGACAGTTCATCATCTCTGTGAAACTTCCAAATCACCTTTCAAGGAAACCAGTAACACTAAGTAACAGAATAAAAGCACAGATGTCGATGGATCACAAATGCCCTACACAAGAGGCCTGAATTAGAAGAGTTCGCAGCATGAAAAGAAAGGCCTTACATGAGTGTTGAGTGGGGAATGAAATATAATATCCTTATGCTCACTAACGATTAATATATAGCACAAGGGAATATTTTTTAGAAATGACGCATCTGAGCTTCAGACCCAACCACCTGGTTTTACAGATGAGGAAATCAGGACCCAGAGATAAACAACTTGCCTAATGACTTTATACTGGAGACAAGAACCCAAGTCTCCAAGTCCAGTGCTCTTCAGCCATCCCTGGCTTCCTGACAAGTTGTAAAACTCTGATGCAGATTTAGAGACCAAGGAAAGGTAGGGTCAATGCTGGGCCTTGTGCATTGGGGGCTATCCCAGTTGCATCCACCAAGAAGCTGATATTCTTCCCTTCCCTTCTCCTCCTTATTTCCTTCTGGTCAATTCTTCTTTCTCTCCTAGGTCACAGCCAGCCTTGTAAGAAGATGCTGCACTAACATGGCTTTAGCAATAAAATGCAGGTACCCAGGGTTAAAGCCCCTCTCCTTCCTCACCCATCTCCTCACCCATGGCTCCCCTCTGTCCTGGTCCTCTCCATTTCAGGACTTTTTTTTTTTTTTTTTTTTGAGGTGGAGTCTCACTCTGTCACCCAGGCTGGAGTGCAATGGTGCAATCTCAGCTCACTGCAACCCCCATCTACTGGATTCAAGAGATTTTCCCACCTCAACCCCCCACGTAGCTGGAAATATAGGCGCCTGACACCATGCCTGGCTAATGTTTTTGTATTTTTAGTAGAGACGTGGTTTCACCATGTTGGTCAGGCTGGTCTCAAACTCCTGACCTCAAGTGATCCACCGACCTTGGCCTCCCAAGGTCCTGGGAGTACAGACAGGAGCCATCACATGGAAGCATCTCAAGACTTTTGATCACCGGCCCTGTAGCCTCTCCCTCAGAGCCTTATTTCCTTGCTTCTCTTCCCTTCTACCCTCTCACCTTTGCCCTCACCCTCCCATGAAATGGCTTTTTTCTTACTCACAACCCACATCACCAGGTTATCCCTCACTCCTTCTGTCAATCTCAATTCCAATATCCCTAGTTGAGTCTCTTTCTGAATAATGCCCACCGACTGCCCAGCCATATTCAGGCACCTCCCTTCCCTTGCATCCTGCCACTTACCACACTTTACATTTCTACTTCCATAGTACCTAGGGCTTTTGAGGACAATGGCCATCTGCTCCCCAGTCCCTGGTATATAGCATAGTTCCTGGCTCAATACTAGATTATCAACAAATATTTGTTTGGATAATGTTAGCTTATCAACAAATATTTGTTTGGATGAACATAACACAAGTAAAAATATCCAAAGTATTCCATTTAGCTGAAACTGCCATTGTTTGCATGTCAGTGACCTAAAACCCTTTCATGGGTTCCATAAATGATGAAATAAACAACTATTCTACTTTTTGTTCTCCTGGTTGTTTCCATACCTCCTCACATTAGACATTCCTTCCCCTTTCATATTTTCCTTTCTTCCAAAATCCAAAATTTCAAAATTAACCTCTCAAGGGGTTAAAAGAGAATTGAGGTCACAGGGTTGCATGAATTGCCAAGTCATTGACCAAATAGGAAGTACAATTATTGCAATGATAAATATACCAAACTAAGAGTAGAGACATCTCATTGCATAAAACACATGTGCTACAGCTGAAAGAAGGTGCACTTGTTCCCCTGGTGCATTCCTTCTTCTATGCTTTCACAGTTTCTTTTTCCACTTCAAACCTCCAGCCTCACCCACCTATTCTCATCTGTAGCAGCAATGACCTTGCTTACCATTTCACTGGAAAGATAGAAACCACCCAAATAGAACTCCCACAAGATAGCCCCTCCGCACACATGGCCTCACCCATCTGCACCTTTAAACTCTGCTTCTCTCCTGGAAAAAGCTATTGCTTCCACATTACCTGTGCACTAGATCCCAACCCTTCTTGCCTCCTCAAGGACATTTCTTCAGTTATTCTCTCCTCTTTCCCATACCATAAAAGTTGCCTTCTATACTGAATCATTTCCACCAGAACAAAAGACGTTCTTTCCTTCTCGTCATAAAAAAAGGGGAAAAAAAAAACCAGAAAACTTCTCCTGGTTTCTCTACATTTTCACCTTCCCTTTCTAGCAAGATTCCCCAGCAGCTACTATAAGCAGTGTTTTCAATTTAACTCTTCCTATTGTCTTTTGAATCCACTCCAGTTATACTTTGACCTTCTGTCCTTCAATACCCCATGGAGTTCTCTCATACCCTCCAAACTGCTAAAGCTATGGTCAAATCTCTGTCTTCATCTTGTTGACATTTCAGCAGTATTTGAGACAGATCATGACTATCTTCTTACAACCTCCCTCACCTACATTTTCTCTTATTTGTCTGGGCACTGTGTCCTGGTCTTTTCTGGTTCCTCTTTATCTCTGACATCTTTAAATGTTGGCGCATTCTAAACTCAGCCCCAAATTCACTTCTCTCTATATACTCACTCTCTTGGTAATCTCATCTAGGTTTATAGCTAAAAATGCCATTTTCATGCTGATGACTTCCAGAGATGTCAACTGGGTATCTTAAATATATCGTATCTAAAACTGAGTTCTCAATATATACCCCCAACCTAGCACTTTTGATGATTAATTGCAATTCAAATCTTTCAGTTGCTCAGGCCAAAACTCTTGGAGTCATCTTTAGCTCCATTTTCTCCTATACCCCACATCAGCTCAGTCAGCAAATTCTGTTGGCTCCATTTATTTTTTGCCTTCATCAGCGTCTTCTATTATTATTAAAGGGCACTAAGCCTCACGCAACTACAGGAGTTTAAAAGGAGCCACAAATACTATCAAGAATCCCAAAGAACACAAAGACTCCAAGAATGAGCCACAACTCTGCTGACCCAAGGCCCTCCCTCCTTCCCTGCTTCCCCTGACACCTCTGCCCTACCGCCATGTCAGCTAATCATATTTTTCACAGGAAGCTGCAAAGATAGCACAGAGAGGTCCTGCATACATTTCACCCAGATTCCTTCCATGGTTACATCTCACATTTATAGCCCAATATCAAACCCAGGAAATTGACACTGTATGTGTGTAGAGTTCTGTGTCACTTAATCCTATGTGTGAATTCATGTAATCACAACTGCAATCAAGACACAGAAACTAACCCATCGCCACAAAGGACTTCCTCATGCTACCTTTTTATGATCACACCTACCTCCCTCTGTATCCAAAACCCCTGCCAACCTGTTTTCCATCTCTATAATTTTGTCATTACAGTAGTGTCATATAAATGGAAATGTACAGTATGTGACCTTTTGAGGTTGGCTTTTTTTTTCACTCTGCATAATACCCTTGAGATCTACAGGTGTTATTTGAAGGACATTTTTGTTATTTCCAGTTTTTGTCAACTATAAATAAAACTGCTGTGAATAAATTTGTACACATTTTTTATGTGGACCTGTTTTCATTTCTTCAAGATAGGTTCCCAGGAGTTCAATTGCTGAGTTGTATGGTCAATGTGTGGCTATTTCAGTTTAGTTTTCATTTGTTTGTTGGCTTGTTTTTAGAAGGTGCCAAACTACTTTCCAGAGTGGCTGTACCATTTTACATTCCAGGATGTTTGCAAGCCCCCTGGTCCAAGTCACTGTCCTCCCTCCCCAAGACCACTGTGATAGCCCCTTAACTGGGGACTCTTCTTTGATCTTTGTTCACCCCCTACCACTTCTGTTTTCAATCTAGCCCCAGACTGATTCTGGCAAAATGAAAATCAGGTTGTGCTATTCCTCTGCCTGAGACCGTGTAATAGCTTCCTATCCTACCAGGAGTAAAGCCAAATTTCTAATGGCCTGCAAGGACCTCTATCTTTTGACTCTTCCCTGTTCTTTGACTCTGTTTCCAATTATTCTCCCCAAAACTCACTCCTCTCCAGCTACTGTGGTGGCCTCCTCGCTCTGCCCTACATATGCTAGGCATTCTCTTGCCTCTGAGTCTTTGTAATTGCTGTTCCCTCTGCCTGGGTTGCTCTTCCCACATAGTTCATTTCCACACTCCTTCAGGTCTTAATCGAACATCATTTGCCTCTCAGTGAGGATTTCCTAGTCACCCTCTCACCCTACCAACCTTTTTGTTTTTTTCCATAGTACATTGTCACCAACATGTCACATACTTTACTTACCTTGGTTATTATCGTCTCACACGTTTTATCAGAATGCAGGTATCTTGAAACCAAGGAATTGTGTCTGTTTTGTTCACTGCTGAATCCCCAATGATTGGAACAATTCCTGGCATATAATAGATGCTCATTAAAGAAGTTTTAGGAGAATGAATGGATCAATCAATAAACAACTACTAACTGGAAAAATATAACTGCCAGCATTTCATATTTGTTCACAATGTCCATGTGTATAATGGCATTCACAACATTGAAACAGAGGCCAAAGTACTAAAAGCATTTAAAAGGTCCCTGGAAAATAATAAAGATATATTGCAGTTTTTGCATTGTTGGGAATTTGTCATTTCATATTGGAATACATTCTTAAATAAATGTGGTTATGTTATACATCATTTTAATGGGCATTTCTCACTTTAATTTTTTTTGCTAATGACATTACTTGCTTTTTATTTTATGTTTATTTTAGACTATGGAAATGATGTTAGACAAAAAGCAAATTTGAGCAATTTTCTTATTCGTGTTCAAAATGGGTTGTAAAGTCGCAAACACAACTCACAATATCAACCATGCATTGGGCCCAGGAACTGCTAATGAATGTACAGTGCATTGGTGGTTCAAGAAGTTTTGCAAATGAGATGAGAGCCTTGAAGATGAGGAGTGTAGTGGCCAGCCATCGAAGTTCACAACCAATTGAGGACAACAATCAAAGCTGATCCTCTTACAACTACACAACTGCCAAAGAACTAAACGTCGACCATTCTATGGTTGTTTGGCATTTGAAGCAAATTGGAAAGGTGAAAAAGCTCAGCTCAATAAGTCGGTGCCTCATGAGCTGACCAAAAATAAAAAAAAAAAAAATCATTGTTTTGAAGTATCATCTTATCTTACACTATGCAACAACAATGAACCATTTCTTGATCGGATTGTGACATGTGACAAAAGTGGATTTTATATGGCAATCGGTGACAACCAGCTGAGTGGTTGGACCCAGAAGAAGTTCCAAAGCACTTCCCAAAGCCAAACTTCCACCAAAAAAAGCTTATGATCACTGTTTGGTGGTCTGCTGCCAGTCTGATCCACTACAGCTTTCTGAATCCCGGTGAAACGATTTACACCCGAGAAGTATGCTCAGCAAATTGACTAGATGTGTCAAAAACTGCAATGCCTGCAGCCAGCATTGATCAATAGAAAGGGCCCAATTATTCTCCACGACAAAACCTGACTGCATGTCACACAACCAACACTTTAAAGTTGAACAAATTGGGCTACGAAGTTTTGCCTCATCCGCCATATTCACCTGACCTCTCGCCAACATATTACCACTTCAAGCATGTCAACAACTTTTTGTAGGGAAAATGCTTCCACAACCAGCAGATTGCAGAAAATCCTTTCCATGGGTTGTCGAATCCCAAAGCATGGATTTTTGTTCTACAGGAGTAAACAAACTTATTTCTTGTTGGCAAAAAATGTGTTGATTGTAATAGTTCCTACTTTGATTAATAAAGATATGTTTGAGCCTAGTTATAATGATTTAAAATTCATGATCCGAAACCACAATTACTTTTGCACCGACCTATATTTGAAAGTGCACTGGGCCACCCAGCAAGAGTTCTTACATTTCGTCTTGCTCCAGAACAAAATGTTGGAGCAGCTCCAATTCTGCAGTTTCATGTCAGAGCACAGAGCTCAGGAAGCTAAACAGGAAGCCATGAGCTCATTCCCTGATAATCTGGAGAACAAGTCCAGGTACAATTTACATTCCTGCTTTGATTGTCAATCCAAACCAAAAGATGGAATTCTTGACTCCTACAATAACTGTATCTTAAAGCCTAAAAGAAGAAAACTTTACCTTATTACCCGCTGCATTACACTTTTTTTTTTTTTTTGAGATGGGGTCATACTCTGTCGCCCAGGCTGGAATGCAGTGGCACGATCTTAGCTCACTGCAACATCCACCTCCCAGGTTCAAGCGATTATCCTGCCTCAGCCTCCCAAGTAGCATTACACTTTTGAACCAAAATTATGCTTTGTTAGAAATAGAATTTAACCAAAAATAATAGGCAGCGTTTATAGTAGGTATAAGAAAGTTCAACGCCAACAAGAAGAGCTTATTTATAGACTGACAGGTATCAATACATGGATGTGCTAGAAAAACAAAGCCTAAGTAGGTTAATATATATCTCACTAATGCCAGTTGCTATTTTCTGAGTGCTTACTGTGAAAATAGCTAGCAATTACATAGCATGTATTATGTACCACAGACGAGTCTAACCACTTTACACACGTTAACTCACACACAGCTAATGAGTGAGGCCCCCAGGACTTGTACCCAGGCAACTTGGCTCTGGAGTTTGGGCTCTTTTGTCCCTTCATTGTGTGCTAATGTCTGTACCCTCATGTCTGGGGGTAACATACTGTATGTTACTCTCAGGATGTTATTAAATGTTTTAAACCACCCCAGGCGATAATAGAGGAGAAAAGTGAAACTTCGAGAGGTGAAGGAACTAGCCTGAGAAGTGATAAGGGGGTTTCAAAGTGAGGTTTGCCTGACTCTAAAACCCATTCTCCAGGCCTCTTCTGTTTGCATCTGTCCCCTTCTCCCTCTGCCATGACCCTGGCGGGAAGGTAGGCTGCTCCCATTGGCCATCCACCCTCACTGTTCCTCCCCAGCCCAGAAGGCTCCCTGCACATTGACTTACTGCTTCACTCCTCCTTCCAAATGCCTTTACTTCATTTCTGTAGGGAAGAAAATGGGATTAGTCTATTACTGTAGCCTGTCTTTGAATAGAGTATGCTACTCAAATGAAGTTTTCATTGGTCAGTCTTTGGACCCTAAGATAAGAATCTCAGAGAGCATTAAGGGAATATTTTTTATTAACAGGTCTCTTCAGACTATAAATAGTCTATAAATCACACCCCCTGAGTTCTTCGCTTTGTCTGTTATAAGCAAAGCTGGCTCAATACCACAGTATGCCACATACTACCGGTGTGATCTCTGACAAGTCCTGTGAGCTCTCTGTACCTCAGTTTCCCATCTGCAAAAGGGGATAAAAATATACCTACCTCATGGGGAGTGGGAGGATTCATTGAGCTAAACTATGGAAAGCAGTGCTTAGAAAGGTAACAGCAAGTGCAATGTGAATGTTTGCTATTACTGTATATCCCCTGGTCATTGCCCTGGCATGGAATAAGGAAATACGCTTTCTCCCTTCCTCCATCCCCATTCTTCTCTCAATCTAGAAACACTTTCTGCCACCGGTTTCCAAGAAAGCTTGTTTTCTACTTCATAGAGTGGAGAATTGGGTTGCTTTAAAAAACTTGCTATTTGTATCATGTTTTTCTTCCTTAAAGGACTTTTCTTCCAACCAGCATTTCTTTCCATGAGACTAAACACAGGAAGGCTCTTCTAAGAGAAATTTTTGAAAGAATTGTCATGGGTCTCGTTTTCAGGAATGGCCAAACTGGTAAAAGTCTGCTTACCATGAGAAATGTTCACAAACTACCACAAACAAGAGTGTGCACAGTACCTAAAAATGTACTTTGTTCAAATGCAAAAAAAAAAAAAAAAAAAAAGAGCTTTTTTTTTTTTTACATTTACCAGCATTGGAGGGTAACTTTGCATTATTCTGGATGCTTTGCATGCTGCTTCTTAAGCTTCTTTTAAAAGAAATTTAAGAGAAGGAGACAAAAAGAGAATGGCGCAATTAAAAAAAAAAAAAGCACCCTTTGCTTATGTAACTCCTGCCATGGCAATTTAAGGGAAATAGACGGCCTAAGCAGTGTTATCCCATCTCATTGTACAATCCACTGACAATTTTCACCTCCCTTGATAGAAACTTCATCCTTTCCTACTTTTTCAGGGGACTGTTAATCTTTCTCATTCACAATCTATTTCCCAAGCCATGTGAATTCCAATTATTCATGTTTAACACCTTCTTTGCTTTGTATACTGAGAAAAGCTTTGAAACATATAGGCAGAAGCCCTGTGCTGCTACCTACGACTTCAGAAATACTTGAATGTATGTTTCCATAATAATTCATAGCAGTAACTCACAATACTGTAGCACATGCTGCAACTTCAAATGAATGGATAATTGGTCAGGGAATTATGGAGGAAACCAGATAAATAGTGAAGTATCTGCATAGTCTGAGGTACACAGGTTTTCCTAGATGGGATAGCATAAGACACGCCGCTTCCTGTGAGCATGAGGACAGGCACTCTTGTCCTCTGAACTGACAGATCGGTATCTGATGACCAACAGTGATTCTCCTCAACTTAACGGGGTTTTAAAAAAATAAATTTAAGGGGTACAAGTGCAATTTTGGTATGTGCATATATTGCACTGTGGTGAAATCTTGGCTTTTAATGTATCCTTAATTATCCTTAATTTTAATGTATCCTTAATTTTAATGTATCCATAATGCAATATGCAATGTACCCATTAAGTATTTTTTATTCCTTACCCCCCCAATCCTTCCAAGTTTCCAATATCTGTCATTCCACACTCTATGTCCATGTGCTCACATTATTTAGCTCCCACTTATAAGTGAGAACACATGGTACCCGAAATTGTATTTCTGAGTTCTTTCAATGAAGATTATGGGCTCCAATTCCATCTATGATGATGCAAAAGACATAATTTTATTTTTTATGGCTGAGTAGTATTCCATTGTGTATATGTGTATATGTATATATACATACATATATACCATTTTTCTTTATCTAGTCATCTGTTGCTAAACTTAGGTTGATTCCATATCTTTGCTATTGTGAATAGTGCTGCAATAAACAAATAAGTGCAGATATCTTATTGATATAATGATTTCTTTTCCTTTGGGTAGATGCCCAGTAATGGGATTGCTGGATTGAATGGTAGTTCTGTTTTTAGTTCTCTGAGAAATTGTTTTCCATAGAGGCTTGTACTAATTTACATTCCCACCAACAGTGTATAAGCATCCCCTTTTCTCTACATCCTCACCAACATCTGTTGTTTTTTGTCTCTTTAATAATAGCCATTCTGTCTGGTGTAAGATAATATCTCATCGTGGTTTTTATTTGTGTTTCTCTGATGATTAGTGATGTTGAGTATTTTTCTCAGATGCTTTGTAGCCATTTGTACATCTTTTGAGAAATGTCTATTCATCTTCTTTGCCCATTTTTTAATGGAGTTGTTTGTTTTTGTTATTGTTCGGTTGTTTGAGTTTCATATACATTCTGGATATTAGTCCCCAGTTGGATGCATAGTTTGAAAATATTTTATCCTATTCTACAGGTTCTGCATTCACTTTAACAGTTTGATTAAAAAGCAGTTTTTGTTCCTACATGCCTTTCCTTTCCAGTGTCTGCCCTGTATTTAACATAAAAGACATTGGGCCACTTTCTGTTGGGGGTCCTGTGATTCTGCCCTACAAGACATGCTTAGTTAATGGCCTCATCTCAGACAACAGGCCAGCAGGGTCTGTCTGGAGCCACAGCCTCATTACTGTCCATGGCTCTCACATGTGCCCTTGATCATTCCTTCTGTCTGCTTTGAGTAGACTGCCCTCCTTCAGCTCACAGTGCAGCAATTGTTTTGACATCTTGTTATCACACATCCTATTCATAGGCACAGATAAGAAAAGCTGTGTCCAAATAAGCATAGTGCTATTGCATTTTCTTCATTAGATCAGATGATTAAGTTATCTAATTATGGGTATCCTTAAGTCCATGGTGGCCAGATTTACACCATTATACCACTGAGCAAGATTTGTATTGCTGGTTGAATCCAGAGAAAACACAGACTAAATTTAAATTTTGTGTTTTATCCCTTTAGCTTTCCTTAGTTCCAAGAGTTCTCTTTGAAGTCAATGTTCTTAAGCTAGAATGATGAACACATTATTTTAATAAGGTCAGAGCCATGGCTTTAATCTATCCATTTGTCAGTTAATGTCACGCAATTCCATGATCACAGACCAGACTAGTCCCAGGCAATTGTCTCAGAAATGACTATAAGTTACCAGGAAGAACAGCCTAACAAAATGTGGCTAAGTCAGCATAAACCTACCATCCACCCTACAAAATATGAATCATTTTTCTTGTGTAAACAACAGCAATGAATGTTGAAGAGTTCCATTAAGAGTGCCATTCACCCAGTGTTCATGAAAACAGCTCTAAACCAGTACATGTACTAATACCTAATATCTGTAATTAATATCTACAGTGTCAAAAGTTCAGATTCTAATGTTCATGCAAGCAATGACACCACAACCACCAAAGCTTTCATGAATTTTTCTTTATGGTCTTGAAGCATAAAATATATTGAAATTGGCTCTGCCCCAGAGTAATTGTGACAAAGTTTGGCATGCCATTAGAACTTATATTAATAAACTGGGCATAAAGTCCAATCATCAATATACATTCTCTGAAGTCAGTATTTCCCACATCAAAACAGCCAGAAGGGTGGATATCCTGGCCCAAGGACATGGCCCATCTTGTCCCAGGGGTAGATGTAGTCCTACAACTAAGATGAATCAATCAATCTCCTTTTGCCAAATGCCATGGATTATTCAAACCACACAATTAATTCCCCTGATTCAAAGTAGAATTTCTGTGGCTCGTCCATAAGGATGAAATGCACTCATCCACTGATACTAGCACTCATTTATTCACTGAATTCAACAAACAGGCATTATCTGCTTCATTCAGGCTCAGGATTATAGTATCCTCATGGAGCTTCAACTCTAGACAGATATTGATCAAATAATTTTATAAATACATATAAAATCCCAGTCGTGATAAATGAAAAATAGAGATCTAAAAGTGCACAAAACAATCTGAACACTGCAGCATTGATTATCATTATACTCGAAAAATAGAAATAGAATATTTTACTTTCAGAGTTCTTGTGGAGATGAAATTTGATATACATAAAAATATATTTTACACTATACATACCTAGATATAAGTAAGGATCACTTTACTCTGGTGGATAGGCTAGCCTATGCTGCAGTAATAAGTAATAAATAATATCTCAGTAACTGAATATGCCAAAGGTTTATTTCTCACTTGGGCAAAATTGTCTGCAAGCCTGGCAGCTCTCCAGGGTAGCTCCCTTCAAGCAGTGAATCAGGAATCCAAGCCACTTGTATCTTGTGGCTTCAGTATCTCAAGATGTGGCTTCCAGGTCAGTGGCAACAAAAGTCCAAAGCAAGTGAATCAGACAGTCATGCACTGGCTCTTAAATGCTCCATCTCACCACAAGGGCACTACTAAATGCACAGGGGAACATGGATATATTCAGGAAACATTTCTGCCAGGCATAAGAAGAGCATGGCTCTTGAACCGGTCACCTGACTCTTCAGAGATGATCTTCTCATAGTTCAAGTGGGAAGGGTAATTCAAGCTATTTCACAAGAGAAAGGGGGTTAATGCGAGGATCTTTCAACACTTCAAGGAGCCACAGAAAAGGCTATTACTATTATTTCTACCACAACTACCAATAACACCAGCAACACTAAGAAAAATAATAAAAAATGAGTTATAAGCACAACTGGGCTGGACCAGCTTCTGTCAATGGAAAAAGAGAGCCAGTCTAGGTGGGCACCTAAGACTTGGCAGCATCCTCACCAAGTCACTTGCTGGTAGAATACAGAAGGCAGTAGCAGCACCAAAGCAAACCAATACAGACCCTGGCCCTCTCCTAATCTCCTGGTATGCTCAAGTTGACTTCTGGGTCACTACACATTTACCCAGTTTTCCTACTGGCCTAGTCTAAAATTGTCTAATTGGGTTAACAGACCCAGTTTAAAGAAATAAGGCTAAATATACCCAGTTACATAAGCACTTTCTCATCCTGTAGAACATTATCCTAGGTCAGAAATGAGGAATATTGCTTGTTTAACTGGCATAGTTGTCCCTGTTTTCCCATTATGGAGCCAATGGCCCTGATCTAAATTACAGACCCTCCTTTACCTAACTAAAAACCAAGAAGCCAATGAAGAAGCAATTTCTGGTTATCATTATGGCTCCCAATCGTCTTTGGTAAGATGGAAACTCAGGTGATGTTTATCTATTTGAGAAATTTTATTTATTTATGCTCTCTTAAGCAATCATGCTCAGCACCAATATATCTGCTTAATATGCTCCTTTATTGCTTTAGTGATAGATACGACCATTAGGTGCCCAGCATGACAAATGTGTATTTGGGATCTTGTGCAAATTATACTGAACTCTTTATCATGTGTTTCAGTTCTCTATCTGCCTGTGCAGGCTATTCACAGCCAGAGCAAAGCAGCAATGTGCAGTAAAGTTAATGGCAATATCAAAATTTTTAAAAAAAGAAAGTTTCTATAAAAACAAGTAGAGGTGAAAGGAAAAGAAATTAGAGTAATTGACTGTAAGAAAAAAAGTAACAGAGATTCCAGAGATCAAGGATAGACGTCCAAAGGCTTGGGAGATTAATGTAACCACTACAAAAAGAAGATTCTAAGAAAAACAACCTACAAGACCTACTGAAAATAAATGGCTGTTTCAGAAAATTGAATAAAATCTAAAATGCTAAAAAGATAGAAAGGATATAGTAAACTAAACTGCATTTAGTGGCTCAAACCTGTAGTCCCAGCACTTTAGGAAGCCGAGGCAGGCGGATCACGAGGTCAGGAGATTGAGACCATCCTGGCTGACATGGTGAAACCCCGTCTCTACTAAAAATACAAAAAAAAACTAGCCGGGCGTGGTGGCGGGCGCCTGTAGTCCCAGCTACTCTGGAAGCTGAGGCAGGAGAATGGCCTGAACCCGGGAGGCGGAGCTTGCAGTGAGCCGAGATCGCGCCACTGCACTCCAGCCTGGGCGACAGAGCTAGACTCCGTCTCAAAAAAAAAAAAAAAACAAAAAAACAAAACAAAAAAACAAACAAACAAACAAACAAACAAACAAACTGCACTTAGTTATTGTAAGAAGGTTTATAGCTGAAATGTATGTCATTATTAAAAGGTATACCGTGACCCAAAGCGAATCAAAAAGAAAACAGAAACACTTTGCTGTTGTTGTCTATTAAGAGAAGTTATAAAATCTCAGGAAATTTTCTCCAAAACTAAAGTTTGAGAAATCACAAAAGAGTGACAGTTAAAAAAAAAAAAAAAAAAAAAAAAACCTGCTATTTATTCTTGAAAAGATACAAATGTGAAATTTAGAAAAATAAGTAGGGTAGGGGCCAGAGCCATGAGAAGATGGTTTAGCAACAGGTTAATTTATTATTTTGGATCTGGTAATTGGTTTTGTTGTATAATAGTGACAAGAACGGTACAGTGCCAGGAAAGTTTGGGAAGATGCTATCAATTTTACTTTAAAATGAAAATCTGTTGTTTCTGTGTTTTAACATTTTTAGTAACATTTTCTAAGTGTTTGGGGGGATATGGAGGAAGGTGGTTTTATATATGACCTTATTATTGGTAGAGATTCACCCTTAACTAAATAGTAAATTATATTACCATTTTAAGCTTAATTTATGAAAATTGTCCACATATTAGTAAGTATGTCACATGAAAATAAATATGTTGGGACATTTCAAAGAAGACTTGTCCACATGTTTTTATGTATATATGGTGGGGGATATGAGTATGGGTGTGACTGCTTGTGTGTGTAGGGTATGTTTATGTACATTTGTATGTCTTGTGAGTATATGTGTGCCTGTATGATTGTGCATGTGAGTGTATGTGTAGGAGAGTGTAAGTGTGAGTGAATGTGTGAATATGTATGTACGAAAATGTGTGGAAGTGAATATGAGTGTATATGTGAGTGTGATGAGGAGTTGTTGCTGACACAACACATCTAATAAACCAAAGGGGTAAGGCATTTCTATGGCCTGGAAAGGGACAAAGAGTAGAGGTATTTATGGGTTAATTAGCTCGGCAACTTGCTTCTTATGCATTCCCTTAGCCAGACTGCATTCAACACCAAAGTCATTTCCTAAATGGTCCCTTAGAAGCTGGGGCCTGTCTTCTGTCTTCCTTTCACTGTTCTCTCTATCCTTGTTTGCCAAAGAAAACAGAAAGGACTCCAATAACATCCCCTATTAGCTCCTGACCATGTCTGTCTCAGTTCTAGGCTCTATCTCTGCAAGGAATGGTGCCAACCTCCACCGGTTCATCCAGGCTGATGAATTCCTCCAAGCCTTGATTAAAAGCACTTTTTTCAAGAAACCTTCTGTACCCAGCCTTCCCCCACATAGACCTCTCCCTCAACTCCTAAGAACAGCAATTATCATTTGGAGTCACATATTCTAGCTATTTGCTCTCTGTACATATACAAAGCCCCTTCCAGCTTTACAGTTCTATGATTCAGTGTTGTCACCTTCTGATTTAGAGTAAAAGTTTGTCAAAGGAAGGAGGCCAATCTCCTCTTTTATACTTCTCACAAATTACTATAATGTCATGCTCAAATTATTTGTTCAAATCATCTTGGATTAAGTGGAAGTTTTATGAGTGTTTCTTATACTATTCTTGCAACCTTTCTATATGTTCAAAAAATTTGAATGGTTGGGGAAAATAATCTTTGATGAGAAAAATCGGGGAGGTGTTGGATATGTCTATTACCTTGATTGTGGTGATAGGATCACAGGTGTTTACATATGTCCAAACTCATTAACATGTATACATTAAATATATGCAGTTCTTTGTATAGCATTATACCTCAATACAACTAATAGTCTGTGATGAAAATTCAAGGAATATAACCAATATTTTTCTCCCTCTGCTATGTACCAGATGCTCCTTAATCCTTCCAAAAAGCAGCCCTTTTAGATAGGCCCTTTGATCATTTTATAGGTGGGAAACAGGCATCTCAAAATCATGTCCAAGATCACGCAGCTGAGAAGTAGCAGATTCTGGATATGAATTTAACTCCTTATGTCGTTTCCACCAGACCATGTAGCCTAAATATTACTTCTCACTGGTGTACAGCTGGTGATTAATAAATGCTTATTGAATTGAATTAACTGTACAGAGATGAAATCACATGGCTATCTACCCAGGGAAATTATAATAATTATAGAGATTAAATTTTATTGAGAACTATGTGCCTGGCATTGCATCAGATAAGCCTTTATTATATATCTCAATTAATTGTCACAAAATTTGTTTTTGACATAGCTACAATTATGTTCCTCATTTTAAAGATGAGTGAAATAAAATCCAGACAATTTAAGTAACTTCTCCAAGGCCTTTGTTTTTCAGCCTATTTTCTGTCTTATCCATAGTGAGTCTATTCTATTGATCTGTCCTCAAATTCACTGGTTCAGTCCTCTATCATCTCCATTGTGCTACTGAGCCCATCCAGCTAGGTTTTACTTTGGTTACTGAATTTTTTCAATTCTACAATTTTCATGTTTTTTTAATGACTGCTACTTCTTTGCTTAGATTTCCTAATTTTTTATTTGTTTCAAAAGAATTTTTTAATTGTTTCTGGGGAACTTTTATAATGACTGCTATAAAATATTTGTCTGATCACTTCCACATCTGCTTGCTTCTCTCATGCATGTTGTGATCTTCCTGGTTTTTAGAATGACACATGACTTTCTATTGTATTCTGGGAATTGTAGATATTCTATTATGAAACTCTACACCCTATTGAATCTTCTGTTTTTAGCAGGAAGTCCCCTTGGGAAGTGCAGTGCAAGGGTTGGGTGGGTGTGTACTTCCAAGTTCCCACTGGGCCCTGAAAACCCTCCCTTGGCAAGAGTGGGACACTGACTCACACTGCTTCATTGCAGATAGGTTGTTCCTATTCTGCTTCCTCTTCGGCTCTGGTGACACCTTCCTGGTGAAACAGGACACCAACTCCCACCCCACTGGGCTCCACTGACACAAGGTAAGGAGAGGGAGGGAAGCAGAGCACCAACTAGCCTGCCTCCCATCACATAATTCTGTCTTGTTGCTACTGGATGGGGGTGGATGCTCAGCTCCCCACTTGGCCCCACTAACACCAGAAAAAAAAGTGCAGCACGGATGAACCCCAGCATGTACTTAAGTCTCATTGCTGCTGGGTCTAGATGGAGACTCAAATCACCACTGGACCCCACTGACACCAACCTGGCAGGAGAATTGCACAGCCTGGTTTCATTTGGTCCTGCTAGCACCATCTGGTAGGAGAATGGAATCTTCTGCCCAGCAGGGGGTAAGGGGTAGAGGGGCATTTTTCCATTGGTGGTTGGCATTTGTCTAGAGTAGGGTAGGTACTGCCAAAATGCTTCCTGGTCCTTTGCCTAGAAACAGGCCTTTGTCAGAGCTTTTTATGTCTGTGCCTGTTTGTGGCTCTGGTTTAAAGGCTTCTACAGCACCTGTGCAAGATACTCAGGAGGAAATAAGAGAGCCCAGGAGCTCACCACAGTGCCATTCCTCAGGTCCTGAAGTCCTGGGCAGCTCGGCCTTCTTTCGCTTTTCAAAGACTTCCAATGCTGGTGTGTTGTATTAAGCCCAAGATTTTTAGTTGTAAAGGACCTACGAGGAATGTATCTACCCCATCTTGGAGGAACCAGAACGATCTAAGGTCTTATAAACTCATAAATAGTGAGGCCAGAATTTGAACCCAGGATGTCTAGTCACAGGAACTGTTTTTTGTTATGCTAAAACTAGTAATAATAAAAACAATTATATATTAGCTTGCTAGGGCTGTCATAATAAAATACCACAGAGCAGGTAGTATAAACAACAGAAATTTCTTTTCTCACAGTTCTGGAGGCTAGAAGTATGAGACCAAGGTGTTGGCAGGGTTGGTTTTTGCTGGGGCCTCTCTCCTTGGCTTGTAGATGGCTGCCTTCTTGCTATGTTCTTATAGGCTTTCCTCCATATGTGTCTGTGTCCAAATTTTCTCTTATTACAAGGCTAGTCACATTGGATTACAGCCCACACAAATAACCTCATGTTAATTACCTCTTTAAAAAAACCTCTTTCTAAATACAGTCTCCTTCTGAAGTACTGGAGGTTAGGGCTTCAACATGAATTTTTGGAGGACACCACTCAGTGTGTAGCAATATGTTATATAACATTATACTATATAGAACAGTATGTTACATAAATGCAGGATATTATAGATATGTATTATATATCATCTGAGAAAAGTAGCCTGAATGTACAATTGGCTCTTGGCATCAGGGTGAATTCACCAATTTGCACATTAACCATGACGAACACCCATTTCCCTGGCCATTTTCCTGAATAACAGGCAGGCAAAGAGTATAGCTGATTGCATGTATGGAAAAGGGAAAAGCTATTGCCCCCTCTAAGCTACTTGGGTTGACAGGAAATCCATTGGCTAGGCCTCCCTTTTTTTCTGAAAAGACACCCCATGGTGTGGCTTCTCCTCTCTTGCCCTGGGAAGGTGACAGTGCTGGAAACACCCAGTGCCTCTTAGCTGCTTGTTGGGGTGATTGGTGATCTCACCGCAAGTCCTGGTGCGTCATTCCCACAGTCACTCCAAAAGCTCAGTCACCCGAAGTACAGCAGCATCCAACAATATGGAACAGTTTTCGCAATGTAATAGTAAGATTCAGAAGTAAGCACCAAAACACTGCATGCAGCATGCTACTCTTTTTATAAAGTCAAACATCATTAAAACAAAACTACATAGACTTTGTAGAAAAACTATATAAATACAATAAACTATATTTTTTAAAAAGCAAGAGAATGATGAATATGGGATTCAGAGTGATGGCTGCCTTTGGTGGGTAAACATCCAGACAATGAGGTGAGGACAAAGCCATGTAACAGGTGAGGCCTAGTAACTGTGAGGATGCCAGCTTTGGTTTTTGGTTGGTGGGTTCCAAGATAATCACTGCATTATTTGAAATAACAAAATAAAATAATGATTAAATAAATAAAAACGGGGGAAACTGGGTTGCTAAGAGTTGTTGTTGGTCTTTAACTAAGAATTGGGATTATGTATTACTTTCTTCTCTCCTTTTCCTCCAATTACTAAAGAATTCACTGTGTTTCTCAAAGGATAATAGTTTTTCTATAAACATTTTTAGTTTGTAACTGCTCAAGCCAACAAATAGCAGATCAGGAATCAGTTAGGCATATCCTGAGTAATTTTTACCTGAGGAATTTTCAAGCCTAGAAACTCCCAGCCCTAATCTCAGAGATTCTGATTCGACAGCAGGGATGAGGTCTGAGAATCTTTATTTTATGCTGAACTCCAAAGCTATCTCCTAGGAAGCCGTCCTGCCTTCAACGTCTTGATATAGTACATCTCATACATTGTGCACTCACCCTCTAAAATTTCATTTTTATCATATTACTGTTTCTTTGAAAATCTTTACTGTTTCACTATTGCTTGCCAAACCTAAATCCTCTGCCCACCTGCAAAGTCCTCTGCAATCTGGCACCACCGTAATTACCCAAAGTAATCTTACATGTCTTCCATAGTCATAGCTAGATACAATCAAGCTGTTTTCCCCTTGCCACCAATGGGAGTTCATTAGCGCCTCTGGCCTATTTTCCTGTGGCCTTTTCCTTACCTGGAAATCCTTCTCTCTCCTACACCTCTTTAGATTTGGCAAATCTTTCCAGGCCAGATTCAACTCTTTCCTTCCCATATGAGCCATTTCTGACTTGGCCAGCTGTATTAGTCTGTTCTCATGCTGCTAATAAAGACTACTCGGGACTGGGTAATTTATAAAGAAAAAGAGGTTTAATAGAATCACAGTTCCACATGCTGGAGAGGCCTCACAATCATGGCAGAAGACAAAGGAGAAGCAAAGGCATGTCTTACATGGTGGCAGGGAAGAGAGCTTGTGCGGAGGAACTCCCATTTTTAAAACTGTCAGATCTCCTGAGACTTATTCACTACCAGGAGAACAATATAGGTGAAATTGCCCCCTTGATTCAATTATCTCCACCAGGCTCCACCCTTGACACGTGGGGATTACTACAATTCAAGGAGAGATTTGGGTGGGAACACAGCCAAACCATATCACCAGCCCAATAGCCCCCAAATGAACTGTGAAGTGATTGATATATTTCCTTACTTCTTTCTTTACAGATAGTAAGCCTTCATGGAATCACAGATTTTTTTTTTTTCTTCCCCCTCATCTGATTGTGATTTGGATTATGTTGTGGACACTTATGATATCATTCCTACTAGGAACCATTCCTCTTACTTTGTCCCAAGGCTAATGCCTGAGCCACCCTGTTGGAAGTATGACACCCACCATTGATCCTATTCATTTGGGCAGTGTTGCCTTTCTAATCCAAACTAGACCAGGAAGAGATTTGAGACAGTGAAGAAAAACAGTTTGGATATTGTTATCTGTCATGCCTCACGCTCTGGCTAAACAATGAGCAGAGAAAGCCAATGGTCAAATAAAGAAAAGACAACATGGTTGAACAGGAAAAAGCAGAATCCAGGACTGGAGAGAACATTCTGGTGCTGTATGAGTCCCTGCCTCAAGTTCCTCAGTCCTGACTGAATTCTCGTCCTTATATTTAGTGAGGCACCTCAGTCCCAGTGAATAAATTTCCCCCTTTCAGTTTAGCTACTTTAAATAGGATTTCTATTATTTCATCCAAAAGAATTATTCTTCTTTATGCTCCATTCTGCATAGGGCTGACTCACACACCTGGCCATTATTCTGGAGAAACGTTCCTGAGGCTTCCTTCAGCCTGTCAGTTACTAGAAGGAATAATAGGAAGGTGATGACTCCCAATAACCAGTTCAGTCTGCTTTGAGTGAGTGTCCTATGATGCTGGCTGCTAGAGATTTCAAACTCCAACACCTAGGAGAGGAGAGCAGTATTCAAGCACTGTTGCTCTCCACAGACATCCAAGGGAAAGGGGTTGATCTTTAGCCATGGGCTCAGCTCACTCCCTCTTTGCATTCCCCAGATTCTCCCTTTGCTTCTAGAATGGACACTCCCAACATCCTCAGGACTACACTTTTTGATCTCAGAATTCACATTTACTAATTAAAAGAGATAAATGCGGGGTTATATTTTAACGTATTCTGTCAGGTTTGGCAAAACGGAGGGAGAACTAAACCCTATTCTTATCACAGGGAATTTATATTTCCAAACTTTAGAGAAAGAACTATCTCCTTAAAATCTGACTTCAAGGAACAAATCATTCAAACACATATCAGGTCATGCTCTTCTTTCGCGATTTTTACTTGAAATCAGCACATTTACATAGCATACAACCTCATTCTTAAAGGATGGATTTCATGGAGCAATGAGAATTCTGGGCAAATTTTAGATATCTAAAGTAAATTAATTATTTGCTCTGTGACCAATTTAAGGATTTTACATTCGCACCAACCTGGGCTTCACAGATAACATTGTGGCTGGTGTCCCAAGCCACACTGAGATCGTAAAGAAATGTTCCTAGTTACTTTGCACTGAATCTACAAAGTGCACATATTTTTGCCTGCCAAGCATGCACGCCTTTGAAAGACTCCCCTTCTGTCAGTGCTATGAATTCTGTGGTGCCAGTGGTATTTTACCACACAGAATAAACAGCCAGTTGTGGTAAACGGTTAGCAAGGGAATCCTGCAGGTCCCATGGAAAAACTAAAACAATAGGAAGTCAAAAACCATCTCTTGGACACTCTCAGGGTCTCTCCCTGTGGACCAATTAAACAACACATTCAGTTGTTGGCAGTCCTTATTTTCAGAACCACAGGCCCAATTACTGGGCTCCAAGCAGCTACATTTTATAGCTAAAATGATTTACAGCCAATGTTTTTACTGCACAGTACGTTTTCCTCTTTGTTAAGCAAAAGTTCAGAGAGAAGAACCACAACTGAGGAGCAAAAAAGGGGGAAACATGCATGCAGAAAGATCTAACCCACAAAGCCAAATGCAAATTGAAGAAAAAAACAGCAGTCTTTGGACCTCAGCCGCTCTTCTTTTGGATTCAATGCCAAATGTGTATTTAGAGATACCCTGAAATATCACCCATTTAGAATTTATTTTTTGCCTTTGTTAGAAGAGCTGTTTTGCAATATGGTTTGTTGAAATAATATACCTAATTCAGTTATTAAGGACAAAAGCTACCAGCCAATCCATTCTGCTTTATTAATGACCAAGTCCAATTGACTAGTGGAAATCCTTTTTATTGTTTAATGCTCAACCATTAAAAATATTTGCAGTGAAGGATGGGAAATGGAACTCAAAATTTAATATGAATGTAGATGAAGCCTCAAGCCTTGTCTGAAGTCATTAACTGAGGGGGAGGTTTACTTGCTCTAATAGATTTGGCCTACTTGGTAAATAAAGGAGATATCCATGTCACCAATATGATTACCTAGAGTACAAAGCCATCCTTCCCTGACCTCTTTGTTGTAAATGATTTACTGTTCAGAGTTTTGTCTTTGGTAATTAAGAAACTACACATGATGAAAGGAGAAATTAACTCAGACAGTGGTACAGATTTAACTGTTGTAAAAAATCTTCGTACTCAATTGTTTTCATTGGAGAGGAGACGGATTTTGCCCTCCAGGAATCATTTGGCAATATCTGGAGATAGTTTTGTTGTCACCACTAGGACAAAGAAAGCTATTGGTATCTAGTGGGTAGAAGCCAGAGATTTGGTTAAATATCTTACAATGCACAAGACAGCCCCCCACAACAAAGAACTAACCAGGCAAAACTGCCAGCAGAGTAGAGGCTGAGAAACCCTGCTTTATACTTATACATGAATTAATTGCCAGATCCTTTCAAAAATTGAGCTAACTAAAAGCAGGTCTCAATTGGTTTTATCTCATCTGAGGAAAGTGCTTAGGGTAAGGAGGAACTAAGGAAAGGGGTGGGGGTACCTCAGAGGGCGAGAAGAAAATGAAAAGAGCAGTTACTGGAGTTAAACACAAACTTTCCTACAATTCAAATGTTTTCAAAAACCAATTACCCACAAGATCCTTATTAATGATGAGCTGATTATTAGTTTGATGATTCAATGTTTAATTTACTTCATCTTTGTTCTAAAAGATGACTTGGCTCCAGGATTAATATCCAGAATATTCAAGGAACTCAAACAACTCAGTAACAACAACAAAATAATCCAATTTTAAAATGGCCAAATGATTTGAACAGATATTTCTCAAAAGAAAACACAAAAATGGCCAACAGGTATATAAAACAATACCCATCACTCATCAGAGAAATGCAAATCAAAACCACAATGAAATATCATCTCACCCCAGCTAGAATGGCTATTATAAAAAAGACAAAAAATAACCAATGCTGTCAAGGATGTGGAGAAAGGGGAACTCTTATACACTGTTGGTGGAAATGTAAATTAGTAAAACCATTAGGGAAAATAGTATTGAGTTTCCTCTGAAAACTAAACATACAATTACATATGATCCAGCAATTCCACTACTGGATATCTATCCAAAGAAAAGGAAGTCAGTATGTCAAAAAGATACCTGCACTCCCATGTTTATTGCAGCACTATTTACAACAGCCAAGATATGGAATCAACTTAAGTGTCCATCAACAGTTGAATGGATAAAGAAAATGATACATACACACAATGGAATACTATTCAGCCATAATTGTCAGAACATGGATGAGCCTGGAGAACATTATGTTAAGTGAAATAAGCCAGTCACAAAAAGATAAATACTACAGGTTTTCACTCATATGTGAAGGTTAAAATTTTTCATCTCATAGAAATAGAGGATAGAATAGTGGTTACTAAAGACTGTGAAAGATAGTGAGGAGGGGCTAGGGAGAAGTTTGTTAACAAACACAAAATAACAGAAAGATAGGAAAAATAAGTAGTTCTGCGTCCCTTAGCACTGTAGGATGACTCTAGTTAACAATTCATTGCATATTTTCAAAAAGCTAGAATAGAGGATTTTAAATGTCCCCAACGCAAATAAATAAATGAATAAATAAATAAATGTTTGAGGTGATAGATTTGCTAATTATGCTAATTTGATCATTACACACTGTATACATTGTATTGAAATATCACACTGTATATGTGCACTTATTGAGTCGATTAAAAATAACCTTTAAAAGTGATTAAACATGAAAAAACAGATGGCTCCAATCCTCTTTCAATAGGTGTTAAAATTTTGCATGAATTTCTTCTTGACATAAGGAAACAAATTTCTCTTCTTTCTCATTCTCTTGAGGCTTCTTTCTGGACATTTATATCCTAGAACTTAGCTTTTGATATTCAAGACAGAATATAGGCCTTATAATAACCTCTGTATATTTCATTTTAAATCCAATTTTACTTAATTTGCTAAAAATTCTGTAATTTTTTTGCCCATGAGACAGCACTACGAGAAAGGTATCAGCCAATTTAGTAGAGAATTCACATGATATAAGCAGTCCTGGCCCTCTCCATTCTTTGAAAGTATTGATGCCAATATCAGTCTGCCGGACTAGCATTTCTCATCATATTCCCTTAGTAGAGCAGTTTTTTATGTGTTGCCCCAAAAAGTCATACAGTCAAATAAGATAACATTGTATTAAAAATGAGTATTCATACTGACTATGATCCTGCACCTTGCCAAATGTTTTATTCTACATTATAGAATACTTTCTACAATAAGCCAGTGAGATGGGTCTTATTAATCCCCTTGCACAGCTGGGAATTCCTATTGTACAGGGAAGTAACTTGGCCAGGTTTCATTGCTAACACTGAATCTGGGATTGATTTGAGACCAAGTCTGTCCTGTATTCAAACCTGGTGCTCTTAAATACTGTGCTCTGCTACTGGCTTAAGCAGAGTTAAGCAGGATTTCTTTACCACAGAATTTCTCAGACCCTCTGTCTTAGTCTATTCCTACTACTATAACAAAACACATTTGACTAGGTAACTCTTAAACAATAGAAACTTATTTCTCACAGTTCTGGAGGCTGGGAAGTCTAAGATCATGGCAGCAGCAGATTCTGTGTCTGGTGGGGGCCTGATCTATAGATGGCATTGTTTTAAGACATCTTTACATAATGGAAAAGGCAGAAGGGACAAATGTTATGTCTTCACATGGAAGAAGAGGTGGAAGGACAGAAGGGGTGAACAGCTCCCTGTATAAGGTCACTAATGCCATTCATAAGGGCTCCATCTTCATGTCTTAATCACCTCCCAAAGGCCCCACACTTGAATACCATCAAGTTGGTGATTAAGTTTCACATTCAGACCATAGCACCCTTTAACAGGCTGTTTCTAATTCTAAGCTCTAAATTTATTTCTCAAACTTATTTCTCCCATGCACTCTTTTTATCATGAAACAGCCTTCATGATGGATGTTTCATAAGACTTGCCTAGAACAACATCATGTTCTCCACTTGAAAAAAATAACAATAAAAATAAAACCTGTTCAGAAAAAAATCTGAAGAATATCTGACACCTCCTAGTTGTTCCCTAAGTAACCTGAACTGGTGACCAAAGAATCACCACAGTAAAGCCCTGTGAAGCAATGTAAGTGTCATTGGGCTGATCAGAAAGGTACAAATCCTGAGAGTGGAGGCTGAAGAACTTCAGGCCTTTTTAGAGTCTCTTGTAGAATTTAAACCAAGTACACAATTTTCTCCCTATAAGCTTCATGTTGAAGTCTTTACGAATGAACAGCTGGAGAGTATTAAAAGCTGTGGGACTATTTTCCTTCCTGCTAGAACAAAAGACATTAAAATAAACTGCTAAGGGAGGTTTGGTGACTTACAAAGTGACCTGCATTATGAGCACTTTGGTCTGCTGCAAGATTGGTTCATTAAGGCCAAAAATGAAGTGTTACTGTTGAATGAATTCCCACATTTCCATAATAGCATTGTTAGTTTGTTATGCTTTTCAAAACTTTCCTTTGTGTTCCTTACTTTTATAGTCAATATTTAATTGGGAGCATAACTCTGAGAAGAATCAGACTCCGGGAAATAAGGGAAAGTCAAGTAAAGAGCATTATATCCCATAGGGCACATATACTTTAGGAAAGCCAAGAGGAGAAACAGTCAGCAAAATAAAACCAGATGTGAATTTGATATGATTATACCATCCCTTCCAATATGAACAGCACTTTCAAATTCACTTTTTTTTTCATGGAATCAGTTGAATCACTGAATCCTTTTCGAGTAAGTGAAACATTGAGCAATGCTTGCCCAAAAGAATTACGTGAAGCCCACACAGGGCTTTTGAAAATTCATTTGCATTTGAATGATGCAAATTGTAATTTAGTATAATAAAGACCATGTATTCGAGAAGAAGAAATTATATAAACAGCCCCTCCGACTTTCAGTCAAGTCTACTAGTTCTAATCCCAACATGCTAATTTGAATCTACATGTCCCATCAAAAATGTTTTTCTGTAAAATAAGTTATACCCTTTTTGACCCTGCCACACCTGCCTGACTGTGATAGAATCAAATGTGACCGACACATTTGGTTATTTCCATTGAATATATTCCTAAGAATTCCCCATGAACAATGGATACTCCTGTCCAAGTCCTCTTTGGTACAACAGATAGGGCATTGTGGTCCCACAATAAGAGCGAACGTTTCTAACATATATTCAAGTTTGATGTAGAATTAGTAGAGTCACAAATCTGTATTATGAAACATCATATCTTTGCTGGAAAATAATATTTAGAATAAGAATCAGACTACAAACAACTATAAACATAACTATATTTTCAAATACAAATAGGGTAACAGTGCAAAGTTGTCTGATCATTCCTCAGAATGGTTAATTCACATAATGCATAATGTCTGTACCTGAATATTGCAATGTGGTGAGAGGGGGACTATGCTGTCACAATTTGGGGAGAACATGAAGGGGAATTTCCATTTTTCCTCACTGTGCATGTGTGTTCTGTCACTATAGTGTGGTACTTCCTGTCTTCTTGAAGCTGAGCTTAAATTTTTCAAACCACTTTCTCAAAATCACAAGTTCTCAGACTTTAAGGAATCTTAGAAGCCATCTAGTGCCTTCATCCAGCCCTCATCCTCTCCAAACACAAATAACTTCTTAAATGTTGGGCAGAACAGCTCTCTCTAATGGGGAGGCAGCTGAAGACACATAGAGGTAGTTGCATCTCACATTGTGTTTCTGCTCCTAGAAAGTGCTTCCATATAGTTCTGGCATGGTGGCTTATACTTGTAATCCCAGCACTTTGTGAGGCCAACCATGTGCAGGTATCAAAAGGTACCTCTCCTCTGCTTTCTCTATCTCCAGGAATGTGATTTACTATTAACCAAGGAAGATGCTTGAATCATAATAAATCCTTTTTCCTCCCTGGTACACCCTTCCAATGAATCTACTTCCCAGGACATTCTTGAATTCTGTTCCCTCTTCCCCATTTCCCTCCTACTGCCTCCATCCAGTCCATCACTATTTCTCCCAGGGATTGTGTAACTCTCCCCATTTTAGTCTCCCTGGCTCCAACCTCATCTCATCTCCCTCACTGCAGCCAGTGATCTTCCCAAAACACAAGCATGTGCATGTCACATCCATTCTAATCACACTAAAAGACACCTAACTAAACCCTCTTTCCTATCATGTAAAAGGTACCCATACTTGGCCATATTTTGCAGACAAGAATATGCAAACAAATTGCATTCTTTTTTGGAAGAAGTTCGACTTTAATAAAAGAAGCAGTAGTCACAAAGAAGAACCGCAGCTTTACAAAACATTTCCACATGGCTTATCAGTTCTAAGCTGTTAGTTGACAGTAAACATATGGAGGAAACTACAGTATTAAGGCAAAGATTTAAAAGGCCCCATAAAAATACCCGTATATTTAAATAAGAAATTTTCCAGACCCTCATACCTGGGTAAAATCAAAGCACATGTTATTAGATGCCTTTTAGTTTTTAAGAAAGAAGTTAATCTGCCATTTCCCCCATCATTAATAAAGCATGTGGTTACTTTTATGGCTGTCTACCTACTCAGATGATTGGGGGTTTCTGATAGAGTTTTCTAGTAAGGATAAATGCACTGGAGAGAAAAACATGAAAAAATCGTGATTCAGTAACAGAAGCAGAAAACTTTATAACATTTTTTCATTGGGAAGATTAACTTCTATATCATATGAATTGTCTCTATCATGAACAGCATCATACTAGAGATAGAAATGGATTCTGTTAGTCTTCAGTCACTTTTATGAAACAAAGCAGAGTGATTTAATTATATATTCTGAGACTCCAAATAAACTCTCCTTTTCTTGGCTCTTGCAATTTTCAATAAATATACACTAAGAGGTACAACTTTGGAGTTTCTTAACAAGTTCCCAAAAAAAATTTCTGATTTGTCAATTTGTCTAAATTCACTTAGAAAAAATATTTAAAGGATGATATACCAGAGTACACATCAGCAGAGTATCTTAAACAAATTTTCAAATACTCTCATTTGCTTTTGACAAAATCCATAGTACATTCTAATTTACAGTGCTGCAAAACAAGGATGTCTTCTATTTTTTAAAATTTTTATTTGACTTTGAAAGGTAATGAACTTTGCAAAAAAGTAAAATACTAAATTATGAGTAACAAGTGATTCCAGTTAGGTCCCAGGCCTAAAATCTGACTTCCCTCAGCTCAAAGAACTGACACATCCTCTAAAAACACAAACTATTTTTCTTGCATGTTTATAAGTGTTCATGTAAGTGTGGAGCAATAAGTTTTTCTTCTTCATTCAAAACCTGGAATATTTTGGTTCCAATTTGCATTTTTCATTGTCCTTCCACACTTTGGAATCTTAACAACACGCTGGTGAAAATCTCCTAAGCCGTAGCTCAGTGTTGCCAGCAGCCCTTGAATAAGTTTTTCTTTACTTGGTGAAGGTTAAGAACATTCTTTTTAATGGGCCCATTAATGGATATTATCTAAATTGGATTTTCATACTTCTGTGGAAAATCAAACAGAACACATATTTTGCTGGACATATCACAAGCTGTTTGCCCACCCCAGCGACTTGTGAGGATAGATATGTGGACAAGTCACTGACCTGTTTGTCTACATAAACAAGATGATTTGGGTCAAAATTATAATTAAAAATGAAGTTTCATCCTCTGTTGTAAAATACAAAAAATGGACAGGGCATGGTAGCTTATGCCTGTAATCCCAGCAGTTTGGGAGGCCAAAGCAGGAGGATCACTTGAGGCCAGGAGTTTGAGACAAGTCTGGGCAACATAGCAAGACCCTGTCTCTACAAAAAAATAAATAAATAAAATTATCTAGGCATGGTAGTACATACCTGTAGCTCCAGCTGCTCTGAAGGCTGAGGAAGGGAGGATTACTTAAGCCCAGGAGTTCAAGGCTGCAGTGAGCTAGGATCATGCCATTGTACCCCAGCCCAGGTGACAGAGCAGGACCCTGTCTCAGAAAAAGAAAAATAAGCACACACACATACAAAAAAAATTACAATAGTTTTTCTTCTACCTTCTGCCATAAAATTGTTTTTTCATCATCCCCGGGGACTTAGAGGCTATTTCAGATACAGCAGAAAACTTGAACAGAATGAAATGGGGAAGAAAGGGAAAGACATTCTTAAACATGGCATTTGAACATCTCTTTCCTACCTAAATGCAACTGAATGAGGACAATCTTTCTATGGTAGATAAAGAAAAAAATAATACTTGTGAGTGAAAAACAAGAGCACTCTAAGAAGCTGTGTTAACAAAGGATTAACCTACAAAATGCTAGCAAGATAGGGGAGGAAATTATAAGAAAATTAGACTGCATCTCTCCATACTGAACATAATAGTGCAACATTAGGCAAAGATTTTCATAGGTGTTGCCTTTATGAAAATCTACATGCATTTAGCCCTATTATTTAGTACATGTAGAATATAAACATTCTTAAAGACCTCAAAACAGTACTAATTGTGGATGTTTTATTTAAATTTAACATTTTACCAGGATCTGTAATTCATTGATTAAGGATTCATCTCTCTATTTTAGCTCTTGGTTTAAGGGTCCTAGTACAATATATGTCAATACAGGGCTATCTAGAGCATTAATTGAAAATGTCAAAAGTGTAATTTTTCATTACAGCAGAAATAGAATTATAAAAATTAGGTCCTTCAATTATAAATGACATTTGCCACTCTAGTCAAGGTTAGTCTTACATGTGGTTGGGGTCCAAGGTCAAATACAAAAGATTCCTTATTCCAAAATAACTGGTGCAGTTTTGTTTCCACCTTTAGCAAATATTTCCATTGTATTTGTTCTCAGTTATGATAGCCAAAATAACAGCTATATTTTATTGAGTATGTTCTATGTACCAGATAGTGTGTTCAACTCTTCATAATTGACATACATAAAGGAGTATTTAAGCATGGACACCAAAGTCAGACTTCATGCATTTGAACCCTGGCTCATGGGAAAATTACCTAACCTTGCTAAGCCTCAGATTTTTTAATGTAAAATGGATAGAATAATATCTATAAGCTTGTTGTGGAAAAGATGAGAACCATGGTGATTGAGAAAAGCTAAGCAATTTACCAAGATCACACACAGCTAGACCACGGAAGAACCGGACTCAAACCAAGTTCTTCTAATTCCAAGCTTTCTAATTCCTGTAAATTTCCATGGTTCTGAAACATGATCTCTGAGGGTCACTAGGATGGCATGCAGATAGAAGGTACCAAAAAACGATGAAGACACCATCACAAACAGTGTTTCTATTCCTGGGAGAGGACATAGACCTTTGGGGTCTTGGGTGACTTAAAGAAGACAAACCCTATTTAACTCTTAGAATCTTAGGAAATTATATTGATGACAGGTTGTTCATCTGGACGTCACAGGAGCTGATCAAGAGTTTCCAACCACCAGTGCATGACATACCACAGAACTCAAAACAAACAAACAAAATGTATTGAATGAACAGATGATTCAATTAATGAATTCTAAGAAACCTTATATAACCCTACAGTTTATGACAGAAGATGAAGATACATTGCAGGCAAGTTGGAATGGGTTGTCCTGTCCCTTAGTTGTGAGCCTCACAAGGGCAGTGACCACTCTTCAGTGACCACTCTATTTAAACCACTTGACTTATGCTGAGTTAACACTCAGTAAATAATTGTTGAATTGAATTGAATCAAATTGCCACAGTGACCTTCAACTATAACTCAGAGATATTTCACCCCTGCCTATTTTCTCCTAAACTCTCAACATCTAGCAATATTCAATTTGACATGCATTTGGATCCCACCCATATAAAGCAACTGCAAGGCAAAGGCCCAAAGCCTCACAGATCAGACATGTCAACTCAAGGGAAATGGATACATTCCACAGCAAAAGGAATGTTAGTTATTTTAAAAGGCTCTGTTTAATATACAACATAATGTAGGTTTACTGAGGAGTATAATACATGATACTGACCCAGATTTAATGCAGACCTTCCACCTTCATCATAGAATCTAGAAAAGTCTCATTTTTTGTAAGACGTTTGCTTGCATCAACAGCATTATGACTGCAGTGTCTTCTCTAAAATTCTTGGTTGTTTGATCTCAAAGAACATTGATCACCTTTAGGGGCTACTCTCCTAACTCTCTCCATGTTCTCACACCCTCCCACACACACATATACGCCACCCTGAAAGTCACTCTTCTCAATGGTCTGCCATGCTAGAGAGTAGGGCTTGCACATGAAAAAGTAAAATGGCTAGACCTCTGAGCCCATAAGAACCATTTTCTTTGGAGACCTCTCTTCCCACTCTACCTCTAATGTTGCAAATAATATGATCCTGAGGCTACTCCCACTTTAAAGCTGTCTCTGCCCTACAGATGACTGAAATGGGTAGATTAAACTTATTCTTCCTTATGAAGAAATGCTTTCTTATTTTCTTCAGTGTGCATTTCCAAGGGACTTTTTTTCCTCTCCATCCATCTCATTCACTTGCTGCCACTACAATTGCATTTCTACCTCACCTGGAACTCTGTGCCTTCACTCTTTACTTCCTCCTCTCTTTATTTCCTTCCCTACTCAACATAGTCTTTATGGTCTATTGCTTTAACCACCTTTTGCCAACATTCTTGAATTCTTTGCCCTGATGCTGTTCTGTCACATCTGGGAGAACTGCAGCCTCATATCAATCTGCCTTGTCTGTGCCTAGAACCAGGCCACCAAGTATTGCTATATAAAACAAGACAGATGCTTGTATTTGTACCTCTATGAGTCATTGCGTTATTTAACCTCAACTAGGCAACACGGTTCAGCCATCTCTTTTTTTCTAACTCAACAGCAGCTATTTCAAATCTTCTCCTTTCTCCCTAAACCTCTGATCTGTTCCTTCCCTCTCAAAAGTAGACTGCCTATAGAAGCTATCACAGGAAATACTCCAGGTTCCTGCCACAAAACCTACTTACTTTTCCCCTTCTGCTATAATAGCTACTATGTTTTAGTACTTTCTATATTTCGGGTATGATGATAAATGCCTTATTTGGCAAATACTTAGATGGTGCTTACTACCTTCCAGGCATAGTTACATGGTTTGTTTTATCTCCAAGACAACATTAGAAGCACTTTAAATACAGTAACTCATTTAAGTCTCATAACAATCTTATGAAATAGACATTATTATCACCCCTATTTTATAAATCAAGAAACTGAGGCACAAGAACATTTGCTAATGTATCCAAGGTCAGACAAGCAACCTTCTCCAAAATATATGTTCTTAAGCATTCTACTATGCTGCTTTTTATTGTGGTTTATATACAACTATGCATTACATAGTCTCATTTTGTGAGCAAAACATGAGGAAACTGAGGCATAGAGAAGCTCAGTAGTTTCCCCAGTTCATGCAGCTGGGAAGGAGCAAAAGTCAGTTTTGAATGGAGGGAATTAGTCTCCAGAGCCTATGCTTTTCCCACTAGGCTGCCACTGACTTCTCCACCCAAGGTTAATCCTCTCTGTGTTCTGCATCCCAATGCATCCTGTTTTTCAGGAACCTCTCTTCTATAGCATCAGCATATATCTCTATTTATGTTTAATAGACATCAGTCTCCCATCAAAAAATTGTTTTAGAAAGCTCTGCTTCTGTTGGTTTAATTGTCATAACCTCTTACAAGTTCTGTGTGGATAGAACTCACGTTTGGTTTAGTCTTTGTTTTCCAGTGCTTATTGCAGTGCCTGACATGTAATAGCGTGCACAACAATTTCTGTAAAGTGAATGAAGGAGGGGACATGGTCTAAGGAGAAAGAAGGAATATGGAGGCTAGCCACCTGATCCAGCCTAGTTCACCCTAGGGTGAACCTAAGGACTACAAATATTTTACACATGAGCACCACAAAAAAAATTTAAAATGTAACTTCAGGTTTGATAAAGATGGTATAAAGTCAGAATTCCCCACCACCACCATCACCACCCCACCATTCCTGGAAATCAACTAGAAGTACCAAGGAGAATAAGAAACAGAAAAGCAAAATCCATTTTGAACAGTAGTAGAAAATAGTTAAATCCAAATAAAATGAAAAACTTTCAAAAGCATAGAGAAGAGTAATAGGTCACTAAGACTGCAGATCTGAGAAAAAGCCAACAAAGTAGGCTTTTTCAAAGTGAAGGGTACATGAGGTATACCCTCTATTTCCAGTAGGATAGAGGTGCACAGGATGACAGCATTTTCTCTATACCTATTCTCATCTAAAAGAAGCAGGAACTGAATGAAGAATGGCACAAATAAGCCATCTTTGTCTGTTCCTATAATTGGAGACAGGGAGAAGAGAGGTGTTACATTATGAAAAAGAACAAAAACTACAGCAGCCTATCTATCTGTTTTGGTCCAGAGTAAAGGCAAAATAAGTTATAAAATTCTAGATAATAAGAAAAAAATCCATCCAGACTAGAATGCAACACGCCTCCTCCTCCCATCATTCCCCCAAAATGTTGGCCCAGGAAAAATCCATCTCTTTCAACATGAGAAAATTTTAAATGGAATGCATACTAAGAGATAGGTTCACAGGTCATACATTATTATGCTTTATGATTCACATACAAAAAGGATGTACAAAAGGTGCCTCCAAAGGTAATATGAGGATAGGAACTGGAAAAATGATAGCAGAAAAAGAATGTCACCAGAAAAAGGAAGCCATAGATGAGGTAAAAATTTGGCCATAAAGTGTAATGCTCTATCAAGTGAGAGTACTAAGCAATAAGGAATAATTAGTGAGACAATAGTCGGAAGTGAAACAGGAGCTCTCAAATATCAGAAGAACAATAAAAGAAAAAAATAAAATCATCATGAAAGTGACAACAAAACTGTAAAGAACACAAGGGTAAATCAACATTGGCAAAAATGAACACTAAAAGATATAAAACGTAGAAATAAAGGAACAAAAATAAAGAGCTAAAAACAATTAGAGAAAAAATGAATAATATGGAATACAGGTAAAGGAGACTGCAATTATCTGAATGTTTGTGTACCCTCAAATTCTATATGTCAAAATCCTAAACCCCAAGGTAATAGTATTAGGGTTTGGGACTTTTGGGTGTTCCTTAGGTCATGAGGTTAAAGTTCTCATGAATGGAATTAGTACCCTTATCAAAGGGGCCCAAGAGAGACTCCTCTCCCCTCCCACTATAAGAGGACTGTAAAAGATAGCCATCTATAAACCAGCAAGTGGGCCCTCACCAAACACTGAATTTACCAGTGTCTTGATCTTGAACTTCCCAGCCTCCAGAACTGTGAGAAATAAACTTCTGGGGGTTTTGGGGGGGGGGGTTTTGTTTGTTTTTTGTTTTTTGAGATGGAGTCTCGCTCTGTCACCCAGGCTGGAGTGCAGTGGCGCCATCTCGGCTCACTGCAAGCTCCGCCTCCCAGGTTCACACCTTTCTCCTGCCTCATCCTCCCAAGTAGCTGGAACTACAGGTGCCCACCACCATGCCCAGCTAATTTTTGTATTTTTAGTACAGACAGGGTTTCACCGTGTTAGCCAGGATGGTCTCGATCTCCTGACCTTGTGATCCGCCTGCCTCGGCCTCCCAAAGTGCTGGGATTACAGGTGTGAGCCACTGCGCCCGGCCACTTCTGTTGTTTATAAGCTACCCAATTCATGCTATTTTGTTATAAGACCCCAAATAGGCTAAGGCAGAGATCAAACATATAAATAATTGGAGTCTCTGAAAAGAAAATGAAATAACAGAACAGAAATTTTAAGATACAGTTTAAGAAAAAATATTTAGGCCACATACTAAATATCATGGTCTCTGAATTTTATTATTGAGAGAAAAAAGTCAAGTGACAAAAAAGTAATTCTACTATCATTTGTGTTTTTAAGAGAAGATTGATATAGATATCTTATATGTGGTTTTATAAAATATATCAACAAAGATAACAGAAAAACTGGCAATGTTTATTATCCCCATGGGCCATATAATGTAGAGAATATAATGTCTAGGCTAGGAAGATGGCTTTATAATACCTACCATTTTGTGTACCTTTTAATTTTGAACTGTATAAATAGTATTATCTATTTAAAATTAAGCTCTAAAATAAGTAAAATATAAATAAATACTATCCATTTACCTGGTTTATGTTCCTTGTGATTTTAAAAGTTGAAAATTTTAAAGTTAAAATTGAAAATTTCAAATTTTATAGAACACAAAATTTTCTTTTTAATTTAAAATACACATCTGAAGAAATTAAGGCTAGTATCATTATCTCCTTTGAAAGACAAAAAAAAAAAAAAAAAAACTCAGGACCGAAGAGACTAAAAGAATTGACCAAGTTCACATAGCTAATAAGCTAAGATTGAAACTCCAAGTGCTCATAATAATATAAGACTTGCCACGAATAATTAAATCAATGGCCCACTAGAGATGTACTCTCTTTTGGATAGTGACATCTTTGCATATTTTATTAAACAATGCCATTATTGTATTCATTATCTATTTATGCATAATATATTACCCCCAAATGTAGCAGAAATAATAAACATTTATAATCTTTCATAGTTTCTGTGGGTCAAAAACATGAAAGTGGCTTTGCTGGGCAGTTGTGGCTCTGGGATTCTCATGAAGTTGCAACTCAGCTGTTAATAAGGGCCTTAGACATCTGAAAACCTGACGGGCAAAAGAATCCACTTTTAAGGCATTTTACTCACAGGTTGGTTCTCATTGTCAGTCTTGTTTCTTCCATATATGGGCATCTCCACAGGCTGTTTGAGTATCTGCCAAACCTGGCACCTGGCTTCCCACAGAATGTGTCCGAAAGAACAAGGTAGAAGCTGCAATTGTGTCAGCCCTTGCCTCAAAAGTCACATGCCATCGCTTCAGATCATTGGGGCCACCTTGCAGGCCACCTATGCCAGCTTTTTTCTATAAAGTGAAGTTTAGAATGCTGAAATAACATTGTTCATAAGACTGTATAGTTTGAACTACCTTCTGTAAAGCAATTCAGAAATAAAGATCAAACACCTTAAAAATGTTTATATTCTTTGACTAAATAATTTCAGTTCTCAGAATCTATTCCCAAAAAAATCACAAATGCAAAGAAAAATACTATTTAAAATTTCCTATAAGGAAAAAAAGTTTATTTTCTATAAATAAATTTTATTTTTAATAGCCCAGAATAGTAAAATGGTTAATTAAATTCAGGTTAATTAAACCCATTGATGTTAAGATGCACCTTTTCCACATTTTAGCATCTCTGAAATTGGAATATGTCTTATAGTAGTTGGCATATTATTATCCCCATCAGCTGATGGCATTTTATTATCAGTTAAGTACAAAGGAGTTGTCATTACCATGCATGCATGAACATGATGACAGACATTTGTGTTGTCATTACCTCAACTGAATTATGTACATTGTTGGTACCACACATGTTGATTTAGCTGCTATTTAAAATGTCTCCAATATTGAAATTGTCTCAAGTATCTTTTCTAACCACAAAGGTATAAAACTAGAACTCAGTAATAGGAGGAACTTCAGAAAATTTACAAATATGTGGAAATTAAACGACACAGTCCTGAACAACCAATAGATCAAAGAAGAAATCAAAAGAGAAATCAAAAAGTATCTTGAGACAAACAAAAACAGAAACACAACATGCCAAATCTTATGAGCTGCAGCAGCAGCAATGCTGAAAGGGAAGTTTATAGCAACAAATAACCTACATAAAGGAAAAGAAAAGATTTCAATTGCCCTAACTTCACACCTGCAAGGACTAGAAAAAGAAGAACCAACTAAGCCCAAAGTCAGCAGAAAGAGGGAAATAATAAAGATTAGAACAGAAATAAACGGCATAGAGACTAGAAAGATAATAGGAAAGATCAAGGAAACTAAGAGTTGGGGTTTTTAGGGAAAAAAAATCAAATCAACATAATTAAAACACCTTTAGCCAACTTAACCAAGCAAAAAAGGAGAGAAGCCTCAAACAAAATCCTATATGAAAGAAGAGATATGACAACTGATACTACAGAAATACAAAGGATCATCAGAGATTACTATGAACAATGATACACCAACACATTGGAAAACTTAGAAGAAGTGGATAAATTCATAGAAACGTACAACCTACCAACATGCAATCATGAAGAAATAGAAAATCTGAACAGACCATGATGAGTAAGGAGATTGAATAAAAAAACTCCCAATATATAAAAGCTTGGAACTATATGGCTTCAGGGGTGAATTCTACTAAGCACTTAAAGAAGAATTAATGCCAATTTTTCTCAAACTTTTTTAAAAAATTGAAGATGAGGGAATACTTTCAAACTTACCATATGATACCAGCACTACCCTCATAACAAAGTCAGGTAAGGACACAGCAAGAAAAGAAAATTACAGGCCAATATCCCCAATGAATATAAATGTAAAAATCCTCAACAAAATACTAGCAAACCAAATTCAACAGCACGTTGAAATGATCATGCACCCTGATCATGTGGGATTTATCCGAGATGCAAAGATTGTTCAGCATATGCAGATCAATAAACACGATACGCCACATTAACAGAATGAAGTATAAAAAATGAGTATAAACATCTCAATAGAAGCAGAAAAAGTATTTGACAAAATTCAACATCTTTTCATGAGAAAAACTCAACGAATTAGATGTAGAAGAAATGTACCTCAACATAATAAAGGCCACATATGACAAACCCATAGCTAACATCATACTGAATGGGGAAAAACTAAAAGCTTTTTTTCTGAGACCCAAAACAAGACCAGATACCCACTCTCAGCACTTCGGTTTGATATAGTACTAGAAATCCTAGCCACAGAACTTAGGCAAGACAAAGAAATAAAAGGCATTCAAATTGGAATGGAAGAAGCTAAGTGGTCTCTGTTTGCTGATATAGTGTTATCTTACATAAAGAAAACTCTAAAGCCTCTACCAAAAAAAACCTATTAGAACTAGTAAGCAAATTCAGTAAACTGACAGGATAGGAAATCAACATTCAAAAATTGTTAGTGTTTCTATACATTAACAATGAACTATCTGCAAAAGAAATCAAGAAAACAATGCCATTTATAAGATCTTCAAAACATAAAATAAAATACTTAGGAAAAATTTAACCAAGGAGGTGAAAGATCTCTACACTAAAACTATAAAACATTAATGAAAGAAATTGAAGAAGACACAAATAAAAGACACCATTTGTTCATGGATTGGAGGAATTAATATTGTTAAAAATATCCATACTACCCAAAGTAATCTACAGATTAAATGCAATTCCTATCAAAATTCCAATGACTTTTTTAAAAAAATAGAAAAAACAATTCTAAAATTTGTATGGAACCACAAAATTCCCCCAAGTAGCTATCTTGAACAAAAAGAACAAAGCCAGGAGAAATAAATTCTCTGACTTCAAAATCTCTTACAGAGCTACAGTAATCAAAATAGTATGGCACTAGCATAAAAACAGACACATAGACCAATGGAACAAAACAGAGAGGCCAGAAATAAGTCCACATTTCCAGTCGATTGTTTTTTGACCAAGATGCCAAGATCATACAATGAAGAAAAGAAAAGTCTCATCAATAGATGGTGTTGAAAAAACTGCACATCCACATGCAAAGTAATGAAATTAGACACTTGTCTTAAACCACACATAAAAATTAAATTGAAATAAATTAAATATTTAAATGTAATGTTTTAGATCATAAAACTCCTAAAAGAAAACATAGGGAAAAAGCTCCTTGACATTGGTCTTAGTAATGATTTTTTGGACATGACCCCGAAAGCACAGGCAACAAAAGTAAAAATAAACAAGCAGATTCCAATGAACTAAAAACTTCTGCAAAGGAAACAATCGAGAAAATTAAAAGACAACCTACAAAATGGAAAAAAATATTTGCAAACCAAAAACCTGATAAGAGGTTAATCTAAAATATGTAAAAAAATTCATACAACTCGATAGCAAAAAAAAAAAATAAGCCCAATTTACATATGGGTAAGGAGCCTGAATAGACATTTTTCTTTTCAAAGAAGACATGCAAATGGCCAGCAGGTATATAAAAAGATGCACAGCATTACTGGTCATCAGAGAAGGGCAAATTAAAACCACAATGAGATATCACCTCACACCTGATTATTATGAAACAGACAACAGATAACAAGTGCTGGCAAGGGTGTAGAGAAAAGGGGAGCCCTTATACACTGTTGGTAGAAATGTAAATTAGTACAGCCATTATGGAGATTCTTCAAAAAATTAAAAATAGAACTACTCTATGACCCAGCAGTCTCACTTCCGGCTATATATTCAAAGGAAATGACATCAGTATCACGAAGAGATATCTGTACTTCCACGTTCATTGTGGCATTATTCACAATAGCATTGATAGGAAATCGACCTAAGTGTTTATCAGTGGATGAATAACAAATATGTGAGATATATATGTATATGTAATGGAATATTAATCAGCCTTTAAAAAGAAGGAAATCTTGTCATTTGTAACAATATGAATGAACGTGGACGTTGCACCAAGTGAAATAAGCCAGACACAAAGACAAATAGTGAATGATCTCTTATCTGTAGAATCTAAAAATTTTGAATTCATAGAAGCAAAGGGTAGAGTGGTTACCAGGGACTAGTAGATGAGGGAAATGGAGAGATATTGGTCAAAGGGTACAAACTTTCAGTTATGAGTTGAACAATCTCTGAGGATCTAATGTACAGCATGAGTGGTGATGGATATGTTTATTAATTTGATGGTGGTAATTGTTACATAATGTATACATATATCAAATCATCATGTTATATACCTTGAATATATTCAATCTTTGTCAATTAAATATTTTTAAATACAATAAATAAAATGTCTTCAAATGTAACGCTGTGATTCAGCATTGAGATGAAAAGTCATTGTGTACACACAAAAAAAGCATGTAAACAGAGACACAGTGGGTACATTTTATGTTGATGAAGCAAATATTCACCATAGGACAAATGATCACTATGCCATATTTTGTTCCAAAGCAATAAATCACATATGTGGTTTATGAACCTAAGTAGATGATGCTGTGCTACATTTTGTTTTCTGAGGATTATGCAAAAGAAGCATCTCTTACATGCCAAGAAATGCAACTAAAGGAAAAATTATTGCCAAATCCCTGAACTAGATGAAAGAAATGTCAAAGCGTCAAAAGGCTGGTGTGACCAACAAACATATCATGCAAAGTTATCATTAAAGTTTTGTATCACAGTTTAATTGGAAACACTTTTTTCTTTCCTAGCAGTATGTAAAATAGTAAGTGCCCCAAAGTCAATGACATCTGAAAAGCTCATTTAAAATAAATACTTCTAGAAGATTTGAAGAATTCTTTGGGTTTAAGTAACTTATAAAAGCAGAATGCAAAATTACAGTCAAAATGATATAAGATAATTTTAAAATACTGTGGGAAAGTAAGAGTTAATACATCAAAATGTTAGAAGTCTTCACCACAATACAATACATGCATGTAAGAAACCTGCAATTGTACCCCATAAATATGTAAAAACAATACTAGTAATTAATTACTTAGTTTTTAAAAAAATAAGTGCTAAAAATGTTAGAAGTCTATAAAATAAGATTATAATTTATCTTTATTTTCTTCTTTATGTTTTCCAAATTATTGACAAAAGAATGTACATTTAATCAGTTAAAAAAATAATACTTAGAATATTAAAAACAAAAATGAAAATGTACCCTCCAGGCAACTTTAACCTCCCTTTATAGCCCATTATTGTTATTTATCTAAGCCTTTTTTTTTTTAAGTCCGTTTGTATTTCAAATTCTTCCTTTTCTATGAGAGGTACATTCTACAGGTTCACAAGCTTGTGTTCCTAGATTGGGCCAGTGCATGTCAACCCAATCTAGAGTCTTCAGACTTTTATGATCTTCAATTATACTTTCTTGGCCTTTGCTATTCTAGCCACAAATGGTAGTTCATTATTTTTTTTCTCCAGATATTGACACTGTTTCAGAAAAATAAAGGAATTTCACAATTCATCTTTCTTAATGGTTATACTTATTTCCAGTCACTGCCCTAGGCTTTTCTGAAATCAGGTCTACAGCAGACCTAGTATATTTCTAAGTTATTTATCCATTGTGGTATCTTTTGAGTTCTTTCCCATATGACAGAAACTAAGACACAGAAAGGAAACATCTTTTCCTGGGTATATTAGTGATCAAAGGGCCTTTTCATTGACACATTTTGAGCCATGGACTTTCAGATTATACCTTTCAGATCAAACACTAGAATTTCTAAGGTCATTGAGAAGATGAATGAGGACAGCAAAAGGTGATGATGGACAGAAATAGAAGACATGGGGTCTGAATTAAACCCCAGGACCAGGGGGCCCTGAATCAGCTGGATTCATACTGAGGAATACATCCCCAGGCAGTCTTTTCTCTCTGCCCTGGATCCAAGTTTTACTGCATTTACAAACCCCACCTTTCTCCTCTTTTGTCTCTCTCACTCTTCTACTCTCAAAATAAACTATGTTCAACTACCACAAGCAGCCTTGGGTTGCAGATGGGAAGCAGGGTGAACCCCAACATTGCCTGTGTGGGCTCCTCATCAGTCACTGCTGACAGCCCTCCCTCAAACCAGCATCTCTGTCTCTGCTGTTGGCACGTTTCTGCCCTTGTGCCTCATGCAGTCTTCTGTCACTCACAGAATCTGCAGGTGGCCCTCCTGCAGATGTGGCCAGAGTATCAGAGTACCACCAATCGATTCCACAAATGAAGGATACCGTGCCTAAATTAAGATCTCCCACTGGCGCTATCAATCAGCCAAGAGCCTCAATTAAAATTTGATTACCAGAAGCTCTGTTTTCACTTCAGTCCCTCCTACAAGTCAATTCATTTGATGGTGTAATCATAAAATTATTTAGGCATTTAACTGCAGTCCATAAGCATGTTCAACTCCCTATTTATGCCCTATCCCACCCCCAGCTAGTTAATTAATAAATAAGACCTGGCATGAATGCTACTCATCTACAACTAATAATAGATGTCTGAATTGGTCTGAGATTGAAGTTCAGGACTTATTTTTCTTGGAGCTAGAAGTTTTCCAGAGACTTGGACATGAAGGCATGGTGGAATAAGATAGGATGCAGAGGATGTCATAGAAACATAGAACTCGCCTCAAATCAGTGACACGACTCATCAGGTCTGCACAGGGAGCAGAGTATACAGAGTACAAATTTGTAGGAAGGGGGAGCAGGGTCTGCTAACACTATCTTGTCACTGTTACATTAAGACCTAGACCTTCTAAAGTCAGAATCTGCCAAAAATAGTAAAATAAGGCTACATTTCATTGCTCCATCATGTGTGAGACATTCGTTAGCATTTCATGCAGGCAGGCAGAAAATTACTGGAGAAAGGAAGAAATCACATTCCAAGCTCATCCCCCACCAAGAGCTGCAAATTTGGCATTTCTGCACAGGAGGAAACAATACCCTGCTGGAAACAGACTCATCAACCCAACCCACAGGGAAAACACAGAGAAAGCAAAGGGAACTTCCATCTTTATTGCTCTCTGTATCTTGTGAGTATTTATCAGACTGAGGAACATTTCCTGTAATACTTACATAAATTCTCTTCTCAGCTAAAGTACTATGCTCCCTATCTGAATTCTGTTTCATTCATTAGAACTGAGGTATGATTAGCTTCTTTAATGATTAATATACTCACAATCTGTAGAAATGGGGAAAGAGGGAAAGAAAGGCATATTAAGCCCAGAGCACTGGGAAGGGCTGGATTTCATCTGTGTCCCATTCTCTCAGCACTTTTCAGAAGTGGTCCCCTCTCTAATCATTTAAGCTGCCTCACAGCCACAGATGATACACAGGCCTTGGATCCTGGATTTGACTTTCATCTTTGAGGTGACAGTCATGTTTCCTACTTGGCAGGCTCCCAATTACCAATGGCAATGGGGAATACGTGAACTAAACAAAGCCAAGCACTTCAAATACTTTACCTCATTCTTCATTGCACCTTTTAGCAAAACTGATTAAGAAGGGACATACTAGACTGTTTTCAATTTTACCTCTTCCTCCTTTAATTACCCTGCTTCTAGGAGAAGGATCACATGCAGCCAACTGTGTGTCAAAGGAAGACAACGTGGGCTGGATAATCAAGGCCTGAATTCCAAAGGATGGGTTATGTAACTGAGTCACTTCCACTTGGGGGATGAGGGCTTTACCTAGAGGCAGCCTAGAGTGGCCAGCCCGTGGCCTAAACATTGTTTTGCATGATAAATGCACGTTAATGCGAGAGGACAAAATGAAAAACTATTACATTGTCTTAAGCATGTGGCTTTGAATTGACTTTCTTTCACCTGCCTCTAAACTACGTCATGCTGCCGCTTGCAGTGGCCTGGCAGCTTTCCACTGCTGTTGTCGCTACTCATTCCAGGCTGATGTCTCTCAGATTGCAGCACCAAATCTTAGACCCTTTTCTTTTAATTCTCTATCAGATTCATTCCACATTGTCCAGCTCCGACGGTTCCACTTCAAATGATTTTTTTAATCTGAGATTTAGCCATTTAAAAACCATATTTTTGCAGAATACTCAATGATACAGGAAGTGTCATAATATACAGATTTATATATATTTTTTGAGACAGTCTGTCTCTGTCACGCAGGCTAGAGTGTAGTGGTGCAATCTTGGCTCACTGCAACCTCTACCTCCTGGGTTCAAGCAGTTCTCGTGCCTCAGCCTCCTGAGTAGCTGGGATTACAGGCACACACCACCATACCTAGCAAATTTTTGTATTTTTAGTAGAGACGGGCTTTCACCATGTTGGCCAGGCTGGTCTCGAACTCCTGACCTCAAGTGATCAGGCTGCCTCAGCCTCCTGAAGTCCTGGGATCACAGGCATGAGCCACCACGCCTGGCCTCATCATATAATATTACATAAAAAACATATATGCAATATGATCTGATTTGATGTGTGTGCACATGTTTTTAAAAAAATCCCAAAATATCAGTCTTTTTTTTCTTTACTTTTTTTTTTTTTTTTTTTTTTTTTTTTTTGACACGGAGTCTCGCTCTCTTGCCCAGGCTGGAGTGCGGTGGTGCGATCTCGGCTCACTGCAACCTCCACCTCTCAGGTTCAAGTGATTGTCCTGCCTCAGCCTCCCAAGTATATGGGACTGCAAGTGCACACCACCACACCTGGCTAATTTTTTGTATTTTTATTAGAGATGGGGTTTCACCATGTTAGCCAGGATGGTCTCGATCTCCTGACCTCGTGATCCACCTACCTCAGCCTCCCAAAGTGCTGGGATTACAGGCATGAGCCACCATCCCTGGCCCAAAATATCGGTCTCAATCATTTATTGGCAATGGAATCAGGAGTAATTTTAATTTTCTTTTCTGTACTTTCAGGAATTTTCTAAATGCAGTATATATTTTTACAAGCAGAAAAAAAAATCATCTTTTCCAACTACTATACAGATGTTGGATATTCCTCAGTTTAAACCTGCATTTTATCATCTATTTGTACCATATTCTACTCCACTAATTTCACTTCCTATCTTCTGGATTCCCCAAATCCCACGTGGTTCAACATTGTTTCCGGCTTCCAGGATGCAAACTTAGCAAGCAGGCTGACTTCTGGATGACTCCTCACCACATCTTGTGGCAGGAAGCAGAATGAGCCAGGACTATCTTCTAGCTCTCATCTACCCCAGATATAATACAGGGACCTTGAAAATTCCTCTTAGCTCTCTGGGCCTCCTTCTCCCCATATAAAAACTGAAAGATTAGGATGAATGTCCCTAAAGGCCCATCCAGCATAAAATTTCTACTTTTCATCAGCTGCTAGATCCGACTGCAGCAGCAAGTTCTAATTGCCATGAGTGTGAGGTTACTGCAACGTCCCACTCACAGGCAAGTGATTCTCATTCAGCAGGAACTGGTGAAAGCTGAAAGTCATAAATATTCAGGAAATCTAACATACTGTTTTATATCAGAATGAACCTCTCAGGCAAAATATTCATTGCAGATGTATATGCAACCCAAATATCTGTAGTATGGAAAACCAGGAGAGGGGGAGAGTGCTGAAAAAAGAGAAAGGCAAAATGGGCTTTCAGAAACATTAAATTATGTAATATACCAGACATAAATAAGGAGTTAGCTGTCTACCCAGCATTTAAGTTTAATGAATTCTGAATTCATCTGAATCATCAATTGGCTCAAGTATAAATACCTGGAATGATTATTATAATCTGATCTAAACAATTAATCTTAGAAAGTATAACTCAACCTGGGTGGAAGTATTGACATGTCAAGGTTAATTTCTTAAAATTATACAAGTAACACATGAATTCACTATAAAATAAAAGTCAAACCATGCAGATGTACACCAAGTAAACATCTGGAAGTTCCTCCTTATCTCATCCTCTCCCATCCCACTCTTCCAACCACAGGCAAGTGATGTTTTAGACCCTTCTTGGTCTAAATGTACATATCTTCACATTGTTTCTGTCTCTTTCACATGGCACTATGAGAGTATCTATAAACATTAGATGTCTTTGTCCTGTCAGATTTAACCAAAAACTTGACAAATTTCTTATTAAAATGGAATCCTTGCTTTTCGAGGGAAAATCTATTATTTATAACTTCTAGAATCAATTCTAACCATTATTCTCTATCTCTGTAAATCTTATCTTTAAGGTAATAAGCAAATAAGCATCAATATTAAAGGAAAAAATGTTACTAGGACAGTAAGAACAGCACAGAAGCCACTGTGTACAGTTATGGCCTTCTAAACATAGGCATCTGCAGACTTCGATTAGCCCAGGCCTTAACTGAGCTCAACAGATGCCCCCAGGTTAATTATCATTTGAAGATATAATCACTCCAGACTCTGCCTTGGGAATTAGCATCACAACTCTTCCTTCTCACTGCCAAGGTTCTGCAAAACTATTCCCAGACAGAGCTGAGGGTTTGGAAAGCAAGAATCAGGATACTTTGGAGGTTCTAGAAGTCCAGAGATGGCTCTTCAAAGATCAGACTCCTAAGGTTTAATGTTAAAACACCACCAGGACTATGTTTATATAAGTTTAAATGCTAACATGACTCTGTATTACTGGCAAAACCAATTCTATGGAATAAAAGTCAATGAAGATTTTGCAGAGATTGCTTGTATATATAGCCAATACGAAAAAAATTAATTCAAAAAATTAATATAATTAATCAGATGGCTCAGTTTGAAAGAATTATTATATTGGCTCTGGGGAGGGGAATAAATCTTTTTATTATTTATTGAGTGCTTGATATTCTAAGCACCTTACATGAGGTAACCAATTTAATTTCACAACACATGTAAAAGAAAGTACTATATCATCCCAATTTTAAAGAAGAGGAAACTAAAGAACAGAGAGCTTGTCAGCTTCATCTTCACAGGATCTGGGCTCTCCCTCCTAGTAGCAAAATGCAGCAGTTTTAGCCTTCACACCTTTATGTCTCTTTCCAGAGAAAAAGAAAGTCTTCTCTGGATTCACATTCTCATTAGCATGATTGTGTTACATGCTCTTGTCGTGCGGACAGGGAGGCTGGGATATGACTAGAACAAGCCAATCAGAGCCTACACCTAAGGGCATGTGGTGGCATCAACACCACCTAAGCTTCCTAGCTGAGAAGGGAGGGAAGTCAATCCCCCCCACCCCAAGGTGTTAGGAGAAGGGAAGTAATGGATACTGGGGAGGTGACCACCAAATATCTGCTCTAGAACTCATTAGCCAGAAACAAAGAAACTGAAAGTTTCTCTAACCATATAATTATAATTATATTCCAACTTGAAATTATAAATTCCTATTGGCATTATTTGTTCTGAAACAGTATGTCTTACATGCAGTAGCTTTTTAAAGAAAACCCAAATTTATAGTCTATCCTGTCTGCCCCCAAATCAAACTACAACAGGTTATCATACATGCTAGGCACTGTGAGCAATATAGATGGTCATTTTTGTCAGGAATGTTTATCATGCAGAACTAAGACTATCATTCTTTTTGATTGGAGGAAAACAGATTTCCAATGAGGAAATTCTTTCTATGTAGTCGTCTTTTATGTATTTGTTACTTCGCCCTTGAACTGTGGATTTGTTGCTTTGCTTACATGCAAGCAAAACACATGAGTGAAATGAAGAACTCTATGAGTCCTTACAACATACTCAGAATTATTCATCTGCTTTTATTCTAAATAGATAATTAGCTACCCAATTTAAAATATGTTCTCAAATGAAGATGCCACAGCATTCCCTGGGAACACACTTTAAAGTTTAATGACCTTCACTGGCAGCATGATGCTCATATTAGAACTAACATGGAACTCAATTTAATCCATGAAGATTTGTTAAGGTAGAGTGCCTGCTATGGGAACATCTTGATGCTCATGCCCATGTCTTGATAGAAGATATCCTCTACATTAGCCTTCACAAACAAGTAGACCACAGTTGGTTCTGTACCTGCTAATCAACATCTATGTAGGTATATGTATTTAAATAGCTGCACTAGGAAAAAATGGCATGCCAAAAAAGGTGTAAACTCTATCCTCAACCTTACCTCTCCAGAATACATGTTCTCATTTTGTTTTCCTAGTCCTTCATGGTTTCCATGGCTTTACTCTGAGCCTTCTGCTAGTTTTCCACAGCTATGATAAATCGATGTCTCAAAACTGAAATCCATAAATAGAAACAACCAGTGGACTCTAGAAAAATAGTGGTTTATCATGGGAAGCAGATTCCCAACCAGAAGATTTCACATTAAGCTGTGTTTGAATGGAAAAGAAAAATAAATATAAAACTGAAAGAGTCAACATAACAGATATCAACTCACAATCGGGAGAAACACTTCGTATCATTGTTACTAGGGATGACTAATCCAATAAATGTCTTAGCTAACACCAGCTGCCCATAATCTAAATATACCAGCAACCATTCCCAGGCCTACAATGTGCGTACATGCTATTGAGAAGTATCATTCTATCAAAGCCTAAGGAGCCTCAAAGCTCATTCAGGTCTGAGCCTGAACAAGCTGCAAAACATTTCAAACCTCTCCAAGGTGAATTAAAGCTCCAGAGAAGGCAAATTAGAGGGGTGACTGAGATCCTCTCATTTAATGCAAGAATCCCTCTACAACAGTACATATCCACTGATCCAGCAGCAGGGAGCTGGGCAAGGCTGCTCCAACAATGCTTGTCAAGTTTTAAATACTGGGAAGCCACTCCTCATACTAAGTCAAAACCTCCTCTCTGTCATTCCTACCAAAATATGCCTAACCTTTCTTGCAATGACAAGACTTCAACTACAGGAAGACAGCTATCATGTTGCCTACTCAGTCATGTCATCTACTGTCTTCCTCATAGGACATCCTACAGCCTGAATATGTTTTGCATCTTTCTCCTCGTCACTTTTGTGAAGTGATACAAAAATCTAGAATTTCCAAAAAACATACCTGCTTCCTTTTCCTACTATATTTCTTTTTGTGACAGGTGTTTATTCCACTTTGTAGTCTCTCAGAATTGAATAAGTGAACCAGTATACACAATAATAAACACTCACCCTGATTTTTTTTTTTTGTCATGAGTTACCATTTATACTGCTTTGTGTCTGTTTAAACTATGCTCAACTGATTTCCTCTACCCTTGAGTCTCCCTATATCCAATCTCCTCCATTCAATCATTCTTGCCCTGTGGATTAAGTTCAGGTAGCAAATGCCTCTCTATTCTACAACATCTAATTGATCCTGCCGGTGTGACATTTCAATCTCGGCTTCATCTGGAGAAGCAGCGTCATGTGAGATGGTAAAATACTATAGAGAAAAAAAAAAAACAGAAACAGGAAAAGCTTATTAACCTTTGAAACATGATAGTACATTCTGTGCTTCTCTTAACACCTGATCATTTTCTAAGCCCTACAACTTTCCATTTATTATGCCCTAGGTGACTAAGTGATGCTTTTACAAACAGAATGTGAGATGCTGTTTTGTTTTTGTGTAATTTTGTGGCAGTTTCACAAACTCGGAGAGATTGGAGTAATGATCAACTATGAAACACAAGACCTGAGTTCCAAACACCATGCTGCTCTGTCAGGACATTTCTATGTTGTTATGTAGATAGCTGATGCTAAAATGTAACTCCAAAAAGTGGAATCCTAACCTCCTCTGAAAAATCTGAGTTATAATCCCAGGTCAGAACAAAGTGTCCAACATAGAGCTAGCTTCTGCTATATATAGCACCTTCGCATCTCTTAACTCAGTTATACTTCAGAACGTCCTGCCAAGACCAGGAAAATGGGCTCCATTTCACCAATGAGGTCACTGAGGCTTGGAGACTTGTGACGTGATGAAGCTCACCTAAGTGCCAGATAGAGTTAAGATAAGAAATAAATCAACAATTGATTCAGTATACTACATTCTTCAGCGTTTGTCACAGCCCCTCATTTGTGAGGTCTAATATTACAAAAGTTAACTACTTTTTGTTTTGCTTCGGTTTTTGAGACAGGGACTGGCTCAGTCACACAGGCTAGAGTGCTGTGGCACAAACACAGCTCCTTGAAGCCTGAACCTCCCAGGCTCAGTGCCACCCCCACACACCTGTCCCCAGTAGCTGGGACTACAGGCACATGCAACCTTGCCTGTCTTTTTTTTTTTTTTTTTTTTTTTTTTTTGTGGTGGGTGGAGGGGGTAGAGATGGGATCTCCCTATGTTGTCCAGGCTGGTCTCCAACTCCTGGGCTCAATTGATCCTCCTGCCTTGGCCTCCCAAAGTGCTTGGATTACAGGTGTGAGCCACCATGCCTGGCCATAAAGTTAACTTCTGCTTTTACTTGCCTTAGATTTTGACAAGTGATATAAGCAGAAGAAACAGTGAGAGAGGAAGAAATTTCCTAAGATGGCTGCAAACATATGTCCTAAATGACACAGCACCAGGGCACTGCCCGGCAACCAACCTTCCTCATGGCCTCAGAGAACTGTGGTAGTGAGAGGCCATTATATGCTGCTGATGACACATGAACACCACAGGGTTCACTTAGCATCTGCTGGTGGCCACACCTCCTTCTTCTTCTTGCTGCAGAACCCTGACTCCAGATACTGTTTTAAGTGTGTGTACAGGACCCTCGAAATACTGGATCTTGAAATAATAACCAATTTTCCACTTTCTCTGGGTTGAGGTATAAAAACCTATTTTTAAAATGTTTGATGGGAAAAAGGGAGAAAATTTTTTCTTTCTTGTTTTTTGAAAGCATGGGGAAGTTTCCCGCTGAAATTTTTTTAGAAAAAAAGAAAGGGAAAAAAATGCATGGAGGTAGGGGGACAGTTTTGCTTCTGAAATTTTCCAGATATTTCTGAACCTTCATACCACTTACTCTGGGATTAATCACATGAATATCAAGAGCCTTTTTTAGGTAACTAAGCACAGAACAATTTTCTAATCTCTGCTTTGCCATTTTCTTTATAATTGTGGGCTAGTGACATATGTTCCTTCATCTATAAAATGGTGATAATATTAGCCTACTCCAGGGAGATTCTGTAAGAATAATAGAAGAAAAGCCTTTAAGCCCAGCTTTAGCAACCACCCCCATAGACAGAGGCTTCTAAGGGACTTGCGAGGAGTAAGAGGGAGCAGAGGGAGTGGGAACGTGGCAGAAAACGCAGAGAGAGAAGCCCTGCCCACTTTATCCAAGGTAAAACATCCTAGCTTATCTCTTTCTAACACAAGCTCTCTCCCATGATTAAGTCCACTTTCTGGTCCAGCAGTTTCTCCACCAGACCACATCCAGTTCCCAGAGAGCTATTATCCCTACATTAAAGTTCCTTGATTAAGATTTTGTTTGAAAAGTCCACATTTCTATTTATGCACTGCTGCTTTCAAAACTACACAGCAGGGCCAGGTGTGATGGCTCACACCTGTAATCCCAGCACTTTGGGAGGCTGAGGCGGGTGGATCACCTGAGGTCAGGAGTTCGAGACCAGCCTGACCAACATGGTGAAACCCCATCTCTACTAAAAAATACAAAAATTAGTCGGGCATGGTGGCAGGTGCCTATAATTATCCCAGCTACTCGGGAGGCTGAGGCAGGAGAATCACTTGAACCCAGGAGGCAAAGGTTGCAGTGAGCTGAGATCACACGACTGCACTCCAGCCTTGGCAAAAGAACAAAACTCCATCTCAAAAAAAAAAAAATGCCAGGTGCGGTGGCTCACACCGTTAATCCCAGCACTTTGGGAGGCCGAGGAGGGTGGATCACCTGAGGTCAGGAGTTTGAGACCAGCCTGACCAACATGCTGAAACCCCGTCTTTACTAAAAATACAAAAATTAGCCAGGCATGGTAGCACATGCCTGTAATTCCAGCTACTTGGAAGGCTGAGGCAGGAGAATCACTTGAACCCGGGAGGCAGAGGTTGCAGTGAGCAGAGATTGCTCCACTGCACTCCAGGCTGGGCAACAAGAGTGAAACTCCTTCTCAAAAAAACAAACAAAAAGACTACACAACGTATGTTAATGCTATGGCTAAAGATTCAGTCATTAAGAAAATTACAGTAATGTGGAGTCTGTTGACTTTTCACCTTGGAGACCAAACACATTACTATTCACTTCCTGCTTTAGTTGTTAAATGATTGGCAAGCTCATAAAGCCCCGTATCACTAAGACAACAGCTGAGAGTAGACCATCTTGTGATTCTTACATACACAGTCAGCCTTGGAGGTGATAAAGTAATATTCACCATTGGACAACTGAGGAAAACAGAGACTAACTTCAGCTGAACACTATCGTGAGAGAATTGTAAAAAATAAAATAAAATAAAGCCACAACTTCATTGAATTTAAGAGGAAATTACACAAAGTAAACTTCTTTTTGCTTATCCACTTAAATAATATTTAACGCTACTAGTAGCTTTGAAATGTCCACTCTTATACTAAAAGCAAACGTAGTTCACAGAGAATGTATATCAGTAATAACAGATCAAGCCACTAACAAAAAAAATCAAAATTCAAAACATAGAAACATAAGAGGGTTTTTTTAATCATAAACATCAGTGTTTGTTAAATTACTAGGACATATTTAACAATACTCACTTCTTGAAAAAAAAAAAAGGCAGGCCTCTTAAGTGTACTTGTATATCGACTTAAAATGTGATGATCCCACTTTTTAATTAAATAAAAATAAAAACCAAATTCTATGGAATTTGGGTTTTTTTGCTGTTTTGTTTTTTTGTTTTCGAGACAGAGTTCCACTCTTTTGCCCCAGCTGGCGTGCAGTGGCACGATCCTGGCTCACTGCAGCCTCGACCTCCTCAGGCTCAGGTGATCCTCCCACATCAGCCTCCCAAGTAGCTAGGACTACAGGCGCAGGCCACCACACCTGACTAATTTTTGTATTTTTTTTGTAGAGACAGGGTTTTGCCATGTTGTCCAGGCTGGTCTTGAATTTCTGGGCTCAAGCGATCCTCCTTCCTGGGCCTCCCAAAGTACTGGGATTACAGACATGAGCCCCCACGCCCAGCCTATTTCTATTGAATTTGATCAAAATGTTTATCCATAAATATAACTAAATAACAACTTACTCCTTCTCTAAACAAAATTAAGACAAAAGATATACTCATCAAGCATAAAACCTGACAGTTTTTAGTTTAGATTACAAATTCATTCCCCTTTTCCTTTCCAACTTCCTGTTTTGTATCATAAGCCAGCCCCCTCTACACTTGAGATCCCTTCCCTGAATATGTCCAAAGACCAGTGATCCTGCTGTAATTTTTTTCCAAAGTTATTTTTAATTAAGTTGTATGTATTTATGACATACAACATGATGAAGTGTATATATACACTGTGGAGTGGTTAAATCCAGCTGATTAGCATGTACATCGCCTTATAGTTATGATTTTTGTGGTGAGAGCTGTAATTTCAACCCCCTCTCACTTTCTCTCTCTATGCATTTTCATCCACCTTTTCAATCATTATGAAATTAATGATCTGTTTATGTCCAAGTCACTAGTGAAGCACTCCATAAATCAACAGATGTGTTTTTGATTCAGAGCATTACCCTCGTTCCTTCCAAGCTAGATCCTAAAAAGGAAATCATTCCATTTAGAGAAAATTATCTCCACAAAATAATCTTCAAATAAGTGTTTCATGCCCTTCAAAATCCATATCAAATCTAAGACTTTGATCATGAGGTATTCAGCACTATCATGGCAAGATAGTATTTTAAAAATGGCTTAGGCTAGGCACGGTGGCTCATGCCTGTAATCCCAGCACTTTGGGAGGCAAAGACAGGTGGATCACGAGGTCAGGAGATCGAGACCATCCTGGCCAACATGGTGAAACCCTGTCTTTACTAAAAATATAAAATTAGCCAGGCATGGTGGTGCCTGTGGTCCCAGCTACTCAGGAGGCTGAGGCAGGAGAATCACTGGAACCTGGGAGGTGGAGGCTGCAGTGAGCCGAGATCATGCCACTGAACTCCATCCTGCGCAACAGAGCCAGACTCTGTCTCAGAAGAAAAAAAATGGCATAGATATGTGTATACACACAAATGTATTGGTTGGTGCAAAAGTAACTGGAGTTTGCCATTACTTTTAATGGAAAAAATCACAATTACTCTTGCACCAATCTAATATCTATAAATCAAATAAAAATATGTAAGTATTCTTGTAATAGTTGTGTATATTTGTGTTTAATATTTTGACAACTCAGCACCCACTTCTCCTTCCTATAGGACACAAATGTCTTTTGGAGAATTACATTTTTTAATTAAATAGTCTTGCTGCAACAATAAATCCAAGTGCCTACCTCCCAGGAGATTCCCTTCTTCTTAAATTACCTGTATTAGTCCATTCTCACACTGCTAATAAAGACATACCCAAGACGGGGTAATTTATAAAGGAAAGAGGCTTAATTGACTCACAGTTCAGCATGGCTGAGGAAGGCCTCAGGAAACTTACAATCATAGTGGAAGGGGAAGCAAACATGTCCTTCTTCGTATGGTGACAGGAAGGTGAATGAGTGCTCAGTGAAGTGAGAAGCCCTTTATAAAACCATCAGATCTCGTGAGAACTAACTCACTATCATGAAAACAGGATAGAGGAAACCACCCCCATGTTTCAATTATCTCCACCTGGTTCTTCCCACGACACCTGGAGATTACTGGAACTACAATTTAAGATGAGATTTGGGTGGGGACACAGCAAAACCATATCATTACCCAAAGTCAGTTTCTGTTGCCTACAACCCATGGACCCTGACTGTTACTGTTACTTATGAAATAAACCCTGAGTAAGAACACATCAGTATTTGCACTCTGGGCAATTACTATATATGGGAAGATGCATTCTCTTAATCAGTGAGTAAATAGGATCCAGGGAAGTTGAATTTTCAGGCAGAAAGGTTGCCAGGAGCTCTCTCCAGGGAAATGGCAAGAGCTGAGAAGACATCATTTTAAGACATTTCACAAGCTTTTGTGAATGACAAAGGGGACACAGAGAAGGAAGTTTCACAAGTCCAGATGAAAGCTGGTCAAGACCCAGAGCACAGCAGAGGTAGTAGAGATAGAGGGGCAATTATAATTTTTTTAAAAAAGAAGAAAATTCAGGATTTTATTATGGGGAGAATGGCAGCAAACATATATATATACACATATGCACACACATATATATACACACACATACATTTTTATATACACATACATATATATATAATACACACCACACAAACACACACACACACACACACATAATCTCCAGACTTGGTGGTGTGTTCTGAAATTTGTTGCCCAGGCTGGAGTGCAGTGGCACAATCCTGGCTCACTACACCGTTGACCTCCCCAGGCTCAGGTGATCCTCATGCCTCAGTCTCTCAAAGTGCTAGGATTACATGTGTGAGCCACCACACCCAGCCTATTGCTATTGAATTTAATCAAAATGTTTATCCATAAATATAGCTAAATAACAACTTACTCCTTCTCTAAGCAAAATTAAGACAAAAGATGTACTCATCAAACATAAAATCTAACAGTTTTTAGTTTAGATTTGCAAGTCTTAAAATGACCTAGGCTGGATGATTATAAATTCCCCTTTTCCTTTCCAACTTGTTTTGTGTCATAAGCCAGACCCCTCTACACTTGAGATCCCTACACTTGATATATATTTATAACATCTCCAGACCTGTTGGTGTATTCTGAAATGTGGTAATACCTTCAATGGAATATCGATTGAAATTGGCAACAGGGTTGTTCAGCAAGAATTCCAATAGCAGATGAGTGAATCATCTCTCCACGTTGAAGAATTTTATATTCTATGCAGCAAGAATATTTTATCTACTCTTCAATATGTACATAGTGTATTATGTTCAAATTGCTGGCAATATTTTATTGCTCATTTTTTGTGATCTTTTTTAATAGCTTCTAACTATCCTGATTTCCGCATATCACCCAACAACGAAGGAATTTCTTTGCTTAGTTGATACAGGAGCATTAACTTAATGTTGCAGAATTTAAGGTCTCCTCTTTTATAAACTTATAATATCATTTCTCTCCCTGTGCAGTAAGTCTGATTTAATTTCCTCCCAGAAATCAGTAAAGGTACTATTTTTGTCTTTGCTTGCTTTTAATCCTTATTTGATTAAAATACCATGTGTTTAATTGGACTGGGTTTTCTCAACCTCCTCAATTCTAAATATCAAAGGCAGCTGTAGGACTGCTGGAATGGTGTTAACAGGCTCCTTGGATTCAACTGACTGTTCTGGGATAATCAGTACATCAGCAGAACCCACAAAATGCTAGTTCCTCTTCCCCTTCATGCTGCCCTGTGCTGCCACACCCTCCACATCGCTTTCAGAGTTCTTAACAGCAAGGGAAGAGGAGATATTTATAGGAATGTGGAGGGTGTATGAAACCTATTATTCCCCTTTCTAACAGGCTAAAATCTTTTTCAATCTTGCAGGTTTTTGAAAAGACTTCAAGTGCTGTTTGATTGAAGCCCTGCAGTATTGACAAGAAAGGCCTCACTGAAAACGTCAGCATTTGAAAATGAAAAAGAAAAACATAGGCCCCTGTCAATATATATACATATATATATACACATATACATATATATACATATACATATATATACACATATACATATATATACATATACATATATACATATATATACATATACATATATACATATACATATATATGTATATATATATTTGGTTTTTTTAGACGGAGTTTTGCTCTTGGTGTCCAGGCTGGAGTGCAATGGTGCAATCTCGGCTCACTGCAACCTCCGCCCCTCCTGGTTTCAAGAGATTCTCCTGCCTCAGCCTCCACAGTAGCTGGGATTACAGGCACCCACCACTACACCCAGTTAATTTTTGTATTTTTAGTAGAGACGGGGTTTCACCATGTTGCCAGGCCGGTCTTGAACTCCTGACCTCAGGTGATCAGCCCGCCTCGGTCTCCCGAAGTGCTGGGATTACAGGCGTGAGCCACCGTGCCCAGCATCAATACACATTTTTAAAGAAAATATTAGGTATCACTGTGGTGCTTTTACAAACTAGTGAGCTTTTGAGATGCCAGGAGAAAGAGGGAAGGATGAGAGAGACAGAGGCAGAGACAGAGAGAGACAAAGAGAGCAATTCTCTCGGCTCCAAATGGGAGCAATATTATACCAAAGTAACTTCCCCATCAGTAGACATTTCCAGGGTTTCCATGATACCCACACAAGGCAAAACTGAAACATAGGCTACGACGATGGAGAAAAAGCCCAATTGCAACATCACCATCCTTCTAGCACTGTCACAACAAAGTGCCACAAACTGGGTGGCTTAAAACAACAGAAATTTTTTCTCTCACCGCTCCAGAGCCTACACATCCAAAATCAAGGTGTTGGCAGGGTTGGTTCCTTCTGGAGGCTCTGAGGGAGCATTCATTCCAGGCCTCCCTTCTAGCTTCTGGTGGTTGTTGGCAAACCTTGCCGTTCTTAGCGTGCAGTGACATCACCCCAATCTCTGTTTCCATCGTCTGTCTCTGTATTCCTGTATCCAAATTTACCTCTTTGTGTAAGGACAGCAGTCATTAAATTAGGGCCCACCATAATCCAGGGTGACCTCCTTTTAATTTGATTACATCTACAGAAGCCTAATTTTTAAACAAGGTTATATTCACAGGTATTGGGTGAAGACTTCAACCTGTCTTTCTGGGAGACACAATTCAAGCCACAGGACCCTCTATAATAACAAAATAGCCTCGTGCTACCACCTAGATAGTCAGTGTTTATCTTTGCATATTCAGGCCTTTGTAGAAGTTCCTCATACTCTAGTACTTTTATAAACACTTCCTCAAGTCCTTATTCCCTAAGAGTTATTCATATAAACTAGCAGGTGTAGAGAGGTACTCACATTGGTTCTCAGTCAGTGATGGCCACACCCAGCCATGGGACTTGCTGGGTGTGCTGCCATATTTTGATTTAAATTTTACAGAGTAGAGTACAATTTGCTATGAATAAGAGGTGAGGAAAATAATTTATCTGAATCCAAAGAAAGACTGTCTGTTCACCAGAACACACAAAAATTTTGTCTTGTGAGTATATAAAAGGATGAGTTCAAAGAAGTCAATAGGTCTACTCAAAATGGACACCACTGGGGCAAACTAGTGAGAAGTGTGGAAACAGAGAAGACTTTAATGGACACTGTCAAGCACTGCTATACTGTGATGGGAAATGCAAAGTAATTGTGGCTTACTTGTTATGCTGTTCTGAGACTTTCAATCTCTTCCAGTGTTGCTGTCAAATCTGTTGATACCTAGAACATGAAAATGTTAAAAACTTCTTCTGTTTGTTTGAGCTACACTTTTTTGCTTTGTTTTGTTTTGAGACAGGGTATGTCTCTGTTGCCTAGGCTGGAGTGCAGTGGTGCAATCTCGGCTCACTGCAACCTCCACCTCCTGGGCTCAAACCATCCTCCCACCTCAGCCTCCCAAGTAGCTAGGACTAGAGGCACTCACCACCATCCCAGCTAATTTTTGTATTTTTGGTGGAGACAGGGTTTCGCCATGTTGCCCAGGCTGGTCTCGAACTCTTGGGCTCAAGCTGTCCTCCTGCTTTGGCCTCCCAAAGTGCTGGGATTACAGGCATGAGCCACCGTGCCTGGCTACACTAAGTATAGACCAAATGCCCCAACTCCAGCACCACTCCCGCTAAATAATACCTCCAACATTTACAATTGCTTAACTCGGTACATGTCTAAAGATGAGAATTTCAAACCTATAAAGAAAATTATTCAGAGTAGCAGAGAACTGTTTTTAATCTACCCAGTGATTCGTTCCATGTATATGGGAAAATGAATCCCATTCAGGACTGGGATGAAATCAACCGACTTCACCAAGAAGACTGATCTCAAGAATTATGAAGCTGTCTATAGCTTTTTGAGAACAATGAAAATATTTTTGCCCAGGATATAACCCCCAACAGTTGCCACAGAGCCAGAAATTCTGTCAATGGGGACCTGTTCTGAAGATGTGTGAAGAGCTGTCTGATATAATGCCAATACCCACTGCTACTCCCACACAACAGCTAATATTTTATAAAAATTCACTTACTCAGGTATTTTTCCAACCAAGAACACTAGAAATAAGCTCAGGAGACATATCTGTCTGGGAAGACACCTACTGAAGGAAAAGGCAAACGTGCCCAAATCATGTCACCTCCTTTGCAGTTGTGCCTGGGGGCTGGCCCTGTGACTCTTCTCCTCGAACTTCCATACAACATGTCTATAGATGACATTTTGCATAACTTGGAAGATGATGGGGGAAGCAACAAGGTAAGGGATCTGCCCAAATATTTTCCCAGAGAAAAAAGTCATGTTCAGTGAAGGGAAATGAGGGAAAGAACAGAGATTTGGGAAACAAGAAAAAGCCATGTGTTCTTTTGCTCCAATGATCAACTTCATCCCTCTGCACCCTATTAGAAACCTGCTGACTAGAGAGCCCTCTGCCTCTGATCCTGAAGGCCAAGTGAACATCAGGTCAAAAAATAGAATCCCAGGACGCAATGGCCTTCCACTTCTCTCCACAGCCCACAGCAAAGCTCTTTAATAAGATAATTCCCCATGCCCTGGTAGGAAGCTGGGTCAGATGCAGAAATATCATGAACTAAATGTCAATTAAGAGCCTCATATGTTTATAGTTGAGAGGAGGATTCTAGAAATGTAAATGGGGCTGAATTTCTCTTTTCTGCCCTAAACTTCACATCTCTCCTTCAGAAACTTGCTTTCTACTTCTCTCCAAAAAGTATAACAGTCAGAACTTCCAGGCCTCTCCACTGATGCTATAAGCAAAATAACATGTTCCCTTTGGCAGGATGCCCTGGTGCTGCCAATTTAATTATGCTTTTCAGTATTTTTCAGCCTCCTTTTAAGTGGCAGAGACTGGTAGCCTTCTCTCTTCTTTCCTGGACACACAGCTAGACCTCAATTTCCAGCTCTCTCGTGGTGAGGTACGGCCATGAGACTGAATTCCAACAGATGGATTGTGAGGAGTGTGCACCACTCTCAGGTCTGGCCCATGAAACTTCCATGCATGGTAATTCTTGCTTTTTTCCCATCTGCCAGCCTGGTGCAACAAACATAACCACTTTGGAAGCCACATGGCAAAGATGACAGAGCCACAAGACGGAAAGAGCCTAGGTCCCTAAATCGTCACCAGGAAGCTCTAATCTAAAAAACAAACAAACAAAAAACACTCTTTAGGATGTTCCACAAGCAAGAAATAAAATTCTATTGTGTTTAAGCCATTATACATTCTTTACTCAAATTTTGTGTTACAGCAGTGATATGGTTTGGATGTGTGTCCCCACCAAATCTCATGTTGAAATATAATCCCCAGTGTTGGAGGTGGAGCCTGGTGGGAGGTGTTTGGGTCATGGGGGCAAATCCCTCATGGCTTGGTGCTATTCTCAGGACAGTGAGTGAGTTCTCACAAGATCTTGTTGTTTAAAAGTGTGACACCTTCCCCCTACTTCTCTCTTGCTCCTGCTTTCACCATGTGAGATGCTGCTTCCATTTCGCTTTCTGCCATGATTATAAGCTTCCTGAGGCCTCCCCAGAAGCTCAGCAGATGCCAGCGCCATGCTCCTGTACAATCTGCAGAACTGTGAGCCAGTTAAACCTCCTTTCAATATAAATTACCTAGTCCCAAGTGTTTTTAATAGCAATGCAAGAAGGGCCTAATACCATATTCATATTCATATACATATTTATATGAATATACATATTCATATTCATATACATATTCATCTATATGTATTCATCTACATCAATCCACGTAAGTATCCAGGACCCTTTTATGTTTCTCCCATGGCCAGGCCAGTCTTTCTGGCTATGAGTACAACATGGAAATACATACTGAGAGCCAAAGTCCATTTTGTGATCCTGGCAACATTGTTAGTTGCAGGATTAGGATTACATGACTTTCAGTCCACTCATCTCTTCACCAGGAACATAGCTGTCTCTAGTGAATCTACCTTGACTGATATGCACCTTCATTCTGAGGTGCCCACCGTGGAGACCGTGGGCTTACTACACTGTTTTTCACTACAGCATTGCACTGGGCAGTTATGCTTCTGAAAACACTGCAGATGATGTAAAAGAGCCTGTACATAACAGATGTGAAGTGATATACATATATGGAGAGATACTATTATTGTTGTTTTCTTGTTACAAAAGGCACCTTTTTCATTGGCAGTCGTGTTTTTGATCCTTTCCCTTCATCTGGTGGGAAATCCTGTGTCACATTCTTCCCTGCTTAAGGCATGACCATAAAGTCAAATATTATTGTTAAGACAAATATTTTTATATTACACATTACACAAAGACACATATATTTATTATTAAATTGATTGTTTCTTGGAAACACACCCAGAAATGATTCATTTCTTAGAAAATATGGTAATAAAACATTTCATCTGAAACAAGACTATAGCATACGTCAAGTATGGCCAGTGGGTGATAAGTCACATTTCACTTTCTCAAGATTGTTTCAACAATGAGTAGACTCATAAGTAGCCTTTGAAATGAAAAACAGGAATTGGGAGGAGAAGGCAGAGCAAGAGCCTAGATAAGAAAAATAGGTCAAAATTAAGCATTGACATAGCTGAAGGAAATGTAGTTCAATACTCCGTATATAAATAATTGCCCTGATTAGATCTAAAGGAGTTTAAAAGAAGGTGTGGTTAAGTTAGAAGTGTCACCAGGAGGGCTTCCAGGCTTATTCTCCCTGAGACAAGGCTAAGTCCTTCCTTTTGTAGGCTCTGATATTTGATGTGGTCAGCATCCATGGGTGGATTCATCTCTTGGGAATTTAAAGTCAATAGAGATTGAGGAGTAAACAAGAAAGCCAACATATTCATCTACATCAATCTATGCAAGTATCCAAGATCCTCATGTGTTTCTATAGCCAGCCCAGTCTCTCTGGATATGAGTACAATGTGGAAATACATATGACAGCAGAAGTCCACTTTGTGAGCCTGGCAACATTGTTAATTGCAAGACTGGGATTACCTGACTTTCAGTTCATTCATTTCCACAGTAGGAACATGCCTGTCTCTAGGAGTCAATGCATCAAGCTATTGAAGATGTGGGTCTTTCCCCCTCTTGGGAGACAGCTTGAATGGACAAGGCCAACTTTGACCTTTCTGTCTTTTGTTTTCCTTCATCCCACACTTATCTGTCCTTTACTTCTCCACCCATGCCTGAATGTACCATTTTTTCTCACTCTTCATAATATTAATAGGCTTAAACAATGTTCTTGAGTTGCCTGTTAATTGCATGTGAAATGCCTTATTTCTAAGATGAATCATCCTGATATGGTTTGGCTCTGTGTCCCCACCCAAATCTCATGCTGAATTTTATTCCCAATGTTAGAGGAGGAACCTGGTGGGAGGTGATTGTATCATATTCCCCCTTGCTATTCTTGTGATAGTGAGTTCTCACAAGATCTAATGGTTTAAAAGTGTGTGGCACTTCCCTCTTCACTCTCTCTCTCTCCTATTGCCATGTGAAGATGTGCTTGCTTCCTCTTTACCTTCTGCCATGATTTTAAGTTTCCTGAGGCCTCCCCAGACATGACTACTGTACAGCCTATGGAACTGTGAGTCAATTAAACCTCTTTTCTTTATAAATTACCCAGTCTCAGGTAGTTCTTTATAGTAGTGTGAGAATGGACTGATACACTTCCTGATATCTGAGCTCAAGGGCCATGGGATATTTTTATTCAAGTCACCTTTGCCTATAAAAGTTAGTGTTATTTTTCCCCCAGAGAAGAATATATTTTGTCTGTTTTTGAAGCAAATGTCATTCATTTGATGGTCTCATCCCCAAATGTTTAGATATTCTACTTTTAACTAAGAAAAAAAAATCTTATTACTAAGTTGACTTTCTAAGCACAAATTTCTTGCCAAAGGAAAAGTCTGGAATGGCAGATTTGTAACTAAAATACCAATTAGTACTTGAGACACAATGAGATTGTTGAAAGAACAATAGACTTGACTTCAGAACACTAAGGTTCTTGACTCTGTTCATCCACTAAAGCACTGGGAAACTTTTTTTTTTTTTTTGCACATTTTCACCCTCTGTTCATTATATGAAAAGTAAAAGAACTAGATGAAATCATTTGTAGAGTTCCTTTTAGCTCTATGTTTTCATGATTCTAAGACACTAGAGCAGACATGCCATAGTACCAAAAACTCTTGCTAAGAAGAAAGGGGAAAGAGAAGACCTACCAGTGACTGAGCCTTTACCAAATTCTAAGCATTGTGCATATACCATCTCACTCAATCCTTAAAACCACACTGTAAGTAGATCCTAGCATAATCTGCATTTTACAGATGACAAAGGGAGGTACAGAGAAATTAAGTGATTTGTTCAATGTTATGGGCTGAATGATTTTGTCCCCCCCACCCACCCCAAGAATTTATGTGTTGAATTCTTAAGCCCCAGTATGATGGTATTTCAAGGTAGAACCTTTGGAAGATAATTAAATTTAGAAGAGGTAATGAGAGGGGGGCTGGTCCTTGTGTAAGATTAATGCCCTTATATAAAGAGACTGGAGCACTTTCATGCTCTCTCACTCTCTCCTCTCAATCTGTCTCTCTCTCTCTCTCTCTGTCTCCCTCTCTCCCCACTCCCTCCCCTTCTCTCCCTCTTCCTCTCTGCTATGTGAGGACACAGAAAGATGTCAGCCATCTGCAGTCCAGGAAAAGATCCCTAACCAGAAACCAAATCAGCCAACACCTTGATCTTGGACTTCCCAGCCTCTAGAACTGTGAGAAATACATGTCTGCTGTCTAAACCACCCAGACTATGATATTCCATTATAGCAGCTTGAACTAAGACACCCAATACCCTACAGTTAGTACAAGGTCTGAACCTTATGTTAAAAATAGAGGCCAAATTAAATTGTACCAAAATATTTGAAGAAATTGTCCCCAGTGCAGCCTGCTATGTGCCAACAGCACCAGTACTTGAGTGCTACTACTCTGAGGGCAGGATTAGAAATTAATTTGTGTCAGTGCCACAAATGCACAGCAAATGACACAGATGGTCTGGTTTGAAGAATAGGCACTCTAGAGGCCACCTTGATCAAAAGGATTTCACTATCCCAGGAGCAGGCAATGCTGAGCACCTGCTAAGCCAGCCTTTAAAAATCAGTTCACTGGGATAAGCATTGCTTTCTTCCTGTGGCTTTCTTCAAACTGTAAATTCTACTGCATTGGGAGTTAGAAGTTCATTGCTTCAACCTGGTCACAGATGCAACTGGTGAGGCAAGAGTGCACCAGATGCCTGGGGAGGGGATAATGATTGAGAAGAGAGAATTGACACAAGAGAGAAGGGAGAAGAAGATAAAGGCAGATGAAGGCAACAGCCTACTTCTCTCTTTGCTAGGACCAATCCTAGAGAATTCTGCTCTTGGCTTAAGCTGAGGAGCTAAAGCCATTACTTACAGCTTACAACCTCCCAAGTCAGGCAGCAGTACTCACATGGGAAGGTTATCAGAAGAAGCAGGGAGTGTGTCATGGTGGGGACATTACTGTAGCAGATGGTGGCCATGTGAGCTGTGGCGGCAGCCAAGGGCTTGTTCAGAATGGATTCTGTTCTGCTTTTATGGCATCTGTTTCCAATCTAGGGCTGAGCCTCCAGATCTGCTGACACTGCTCCTTCCAAATCCAAGTCAGTGCCCAGCTCAGCATCCGGACCCTCAGCCCTTGGGACAGGCTGCATTGAGCTCGGAAAGAAAATTGGAATTTCCCCTTCTTGCCTCATTAAAGGAACCATCTAAGTTCACTTCTCTAACAGGAGCAAATTTGGCTGAATTTAGTCTTGAGCAGTGATGAGCAAAGGTATCATATTCCATAATCCTCCCTGTGTCTCAGTAATAAATGCACTGGAGTAAGAAAGAAATATCTGCACATGTCCTTACTCCCCTGGGGATGTTGTGACTCCATCTGCTGCTTCACATGCCAAGTGCTAAGGATGGCAGTCATTTCTAAGAAACCATAAAAAATTTTACTGAGCATATTCTGCACTTTTACCTCCATTGAACATATATCACTAGGCACCAGGCAGAGTATACAATGGACCACGAAATCTCATTGCCTTAGATGTATCTGTATGCAAGAAATCAAGTCATTCTGGAGGTTTCATCTGGGAAATACAGATAACAAAGGTGCTACATTGATGCAGTTTTTCTTATAACAATTTTCCTAATCCATTACTTCATTTTCCATGTGTTGACCCAGCTCTCATTTCAGCCTCTTTAGCCCCATCTTGGGTATGAGATTTATTGTTCCAATGTGGACTGTGAAGAGGAAAGTGTGAGAATGAGATCATAGGTTCCACTAAGCCCCACTGTCCCAAAACACAATGAGCCACTTTTGGCAGCCTGATCAGCCCTACAGGAAGGCCACTGGCTAAGGAACCATGCCAAGCTTTGAGCCAACCATGCTGTGTTGAAAGATTTCATGCAAGAGTCCTGAAGCAGAGTAGTGGAATTTTCTGGAAGTAAAGCACCCCAATTCCTGTCCCAGAAACAATGTTTATTGGATGGCCTCTGGCTCCTAGCGACCTGGTTTTCATTTCCATCAGGCAAATAGAAATGAATGTAAAACTTTCTGCTGCCTCACCATCCCCACCCTCCCAAAGCGACCCAGGGTTTCCAGTTCCTGCCGCAGACTCTGACTCCTCTCACCTCCTTCCTAAGCGAGAGCTCTCTCTGCACCCTCTGCTCTACACAGAAGGTGGGTGGAAAATGGAAAGCCTCAGGGGCTGTCAGGAGAGCAGAGGAACAGAAAAGCACAGATCTGAGCACATGCACTCAAGCATGTGGGCCACCATGGGGTGCCATGGCCTTTGTGTGCAGAGCCACATGGGGCCAGAGTTCTACCTGCCCCTAGAGTTTATGTCCCAGGCATTAAAATGTAGAGGAACTTCTCTCTGCCTTCTTCGTTTGCTGGTGAGATCATAAGCTTGGAAGGAGTAGTGGGGACCCAAAGATGACACAGGACAGAGCCAGGATTAGAATTCGGGTCTCCTAATGACCCCATGCCTACTCCTCCTCACTGTCTCCTTGTGCGAGGGGTGAGAAGAGAAAGGAGGAACAGAGGATCTTGGGGTGGAAAAGTTTGAGAACCTTTAGCTTAGGCTAAATTTCTAAATCAGAAATTGTGCAGCTTTCATCTGTTCTGCACACATTCCTCACAAGGCACCTGGTGGCTGCTCTGAAGATACATCCTCATGGCATTGTGCCAGCTGAATGCTGTGGGGCAGGAACAAGCCTCAGCTCACTCCTCTGGTGCAAAGTCCTCTGGATCCCAGAGCCTCTCTCCTGCAGCCTGGGCAGCCTTCAGCTACTGTGGAACCAGGTGGAAACTTATAAAAGGGAAGCTGTGGTTGAGCACTGGCAGACAATATGCAGAGATATAGTGTGGAGCACTTTAAGGTTACCTACATCTGCAAAGATCCCTGTCCTGCTGCCTCCACAGCCACTGTTGAAACACCAGTGGGACATAGAGTTCTGTGCCTATGGCAGAAACAATCCAGATTAATTCATTTTAATACAGAGTTTTGAAGTTTTTTAATTTACCATCTTTAGATTGTGGATCTACTTGCAGGACAAAGCCTAGATTTTAACCTGGGGCCACACCACCTTCAGGACATGCATATTCATGAAGAATCCAAGCCACCAGTCATTTTTTCCTCTTTTTTTAGATTCAGGGGCTACACATGCAAGTTGTTATGGGGGTATATTGCATGATGCTGAGCTTTGGATTTCTATCATCCCATCATCCAAATAGCGAATATAGTACTCAATAGGTAGTTTTTAAACCTTGTCCCTTTGTCCCCTCCCCTATTTTGGAGTCCCCAGTGTCTATTATTGCCTTTTTTTTTTTTTTTTTTTTTTTTTGAGACGGAGTCTTGCTCTGTCAGCCAGGCTGGAGTGCAGTGGCGTGATCTTGGCTCACTGCAAGCTCTGCCTCCTGGGTTCACGCCATTCTCCTGCCTCAGCCTCCCGAGTAGCTGGGACTACAGGCACCTGCCACCACACCCGGCTAATTTTTTGTATTTTTAGTAGAGACAGGGTTTCACCGTGTTAGCCATGATGGTCTTGATCTCCTGACTCGTGATCCACCTACCTCGGCCTCCCAGAGTGCTGGGATTACAGGTGTGAGCCACCGCGCCCGGCCAATCGTTGCCATTTTTATGTCTGTGAATACCCACTGTTTAGCTCCCACTTTTAAGTGAGAATATACAGTATTTGGTTTTCTATTCCTGTGTTAATTCACGTAGGATTATGGCCTCCAGCTGCCTCCATGTTGCTGAAAAAGACATGATCTCACTCTTTTATATGGCTGAATAGTATTCTGTGGTGTATCTGTACCAATTTTATCCAATCCACCATTGATAGGCACCATTGATTCCATGTCTTTCTATTGTGAATAGTGCTGCGATGAACAAAGGAGTGTGCGTGTCTTCTTGGTGGAACAATTTACTTTCCTCTGGGTACGTATCCAGTAATGAGATTGCTGGGTCCCATGGTAGTTCTATATTAAGTTCTTTGAGAAATCTCTAAACTGCCTTCCATAGTGGCTGAACTAATTCACATTCCCACCAACAGTGTATAAGCATTCCCTTCTCTTCGAAGCCTGAATTACATCTGTTATTTTTTGACTTCTGATTAATAGGCACTCTGAGTAGTGTGAGATAATATCTCATTGCCAAGCCACCGAAGTTTTTGATGTGGTTCCTTCAGATGTTGTTATTTGTCTTCTCCCTTCTTATGTACCAAGATAATAATTACTCCTTGTGGTACATGCTAGGGAACTTCAACACATCAGGCAAGATGTTACTATTCCTATTTTACAGATGAATAAAAAGAAGTGAAAAAAATTCTGATTGCATGATTTGCCTCAGATCTCACAGCTGGTAATGGGGCTGTTATTCAGACCCTGGCCTGACTCTTTAACCTGGATTCTTTCCATGGTAGTACTCCTTCTACCCATCTCAAGTATAGCTGACCAAAACTCAATCATCAGCTCATTCATCCTCCCTCTAAAGCTGGACACATAGAAACTCCAGTTCTACACCCCGCAATACTCTTCTTAATCATCAAGACTCAGCAAAGATAGATCCTACTACTGTCCTGTATCCCTGAAATACTAACTAGAGAGAGGCAAGTTATATGCTTTTCCTTGGGATTTCTAAAGGTTTTCTTCCTGATACTCCAATCATGAATCCACTTTTAAATCAGCTACTCACACTAGCTGATATCAGGTTGGTTTTCTGTTTCTGTAATACCTATAAATGTATGTCCATATAAGTGTGTCTGTCTTCAGTCATAATCCTTGACAGAAAGAACCTAGACTGTTTAATTTTTGATTCAGCATCAAACAGAAAATCATCCAGAATTAACTACTTAATGAATGTTTGATTTCTACAGTGAAGATGATGCTGATGACAATGTTGATGATGGTGACGGTAATGGCGATAATAATGGTTGGATAATGGCCTGCAGGGCTCTTTCCTATAAAAGCATCCAGAGTGCTTTACTGAAAATGTTCATGAAGATTGACCAACAAGCTGCAGTAGAGAACTTAGTAGACATGAGTGGCAGAGTCTCTAGGTACTGGTTTTCTCTGGTAGTGTATAGACGTGTTTACTGCCTCCTCACTCCCACTGCACTGAATGACATGGCAGAAGAGGCTCAGAAGCTGCAGGAGGCAACTGCTTCAGGAAGAAGCACCTGTTAGCAAACCAAAGCATCGCCTGCTTCCCACACAGGGAACCAACCATCGCTGAGTCATAATTCACCAAGCTCAGAGCCAAACTGACAGGCTGGAGAAAGAAGTCAACAAAACCTTCACAGCAGGTGCAAGGGACTACTGGTTTCCCTTATGATGTCCTGAGCATGACTCCAAGTTGGAGAAGCCAGTGCAGGGAGCCCACTCACCACATGAGCCGGCCACGTGTCTTGGCTTCCCTGCCTTTGGTGTGTACTCTGTGTCCCATTGTCAAGCCCACTGAGCAGGGTCAGGGTGATAGTTTGGGGCTTCAGTCACTGAATAGTAACATCCATAGCCGATGGTCTGAGAATGAAACATGATGGAAATAATAAAGATAAAAACTACGGAGACACTTGCACACCAGCATGGGACTTCCCCAGAATGCACTCAGTCCTATAAATGTATCTTTTCAAATGCTCAGAAATTCTTCTCTCAGAAGGTTGTATACATAAATCAAAAATTACCTTTAGTTTCTAAAGCAATTAGACTTAAGTGATTGTGAATAAAGAATACAAATAGCTTATGTTATGCGTTTAGTCAATATCTTGCACATCCCAGACCAATAGCTGTTGCCCTGATTCCAGCTTGCATTTAGGACATTCATTTTTTATTGCAATCATGTTTTGCTGAGTGCTTTCAGGGAGAATAAATAAGGCTTTAAAGGAATAGCACAGGAAATTTATAAATTGAAAGTCTTTTTACTTTAAGCTAACTTTACATGGTGTGCAATTGTATGTCAGTGGCTTCCAATCTTTGAAGAAACTGTACATTTTTAGAATGAAAATTTACCTTAATATGAACACTTTCTGGCTTGCTTTAGAAAGGGGACACAGAAATCAATCCATAGACTCATATTTCAACCATCTCTTCTTTTTATTTTATTCCAAGCTCATAGCGATGAGAACTGGAAAAGAATAAAAATGTGCTTTTGCACTCATATATTCTTATTCTGTTTTAATTGCAGGTGAAGGATGACACTTTATAGTGAAGACATTTTACTACAACTCAGAAAGGAAACGGTTATGAGCTGTAAGGAATGGGGACATCAAAAGATGTATGACACTTAAATTCAGAAATACCCATCATTTTCCTGTACATGGTATTACAAAAGATAAATAACACTCACATCATTCACTGCATCTGCTTACATAAATGGTATTGGCTTGCTATAAATATTCACTGCTATCTTTTACAATAAAGTACGCATTAGTAACGATGCTTCTATTCCTGCATTTGAGGTCAAGTGAAAAGGTTAGTGTGCCAACTTCTAAGATAATGAACTCTGACCATTCCTTTTCTCTGACATCCACATTCAAACAATTACCAGTCCTGCCCCATGGTCTTAGAGCTAAAGGAAGAGGAGTGGGGAAGAACTATGGGGTCTGGAGCCAGCCTAAGTCCAAATTCCAACTCCACCACTTATCAGCTCTATAAATTTGACAAGTTGCTTAATCGCACAGTCTGTGCCTCACTCTGCTCCTCTGTAAAGTGGGCACAGTAATATGTTCTGTTGGAAGGACACACTGAGTTATATGGAAAGCACTTAGAAAGGCACGTAATAAATGCTACATAAGCCTTAGCTCTTTGACAACAATGGCCTTTTTTTTTTAATATTGGCACTTCCTCAGTACCTCCACTTCCACTCCTCTCCAGACCCTACTGCCTCCCTCAAGTCGACTGCAACAAATAGGGTTCCAGCTGGGCTCCCTGCTTATGACATAGCTCACTCACCTCACCCACCTCCATTTCAAATCAAATGTCCTCTCCTTCATGCTACCCACTAGACATTTCTATCACAGCACCTACTACACCTTGGTCTTTATCTATGTTTATGTGTAGTGCAGCTGAAAAACACCTATTTTAATTGCATTCAGGAGACCACTTAGGAAACTGTCATTGGTTAGGCAATACCTTGATAGGTAAATTTTGGCAGGAAAGTTCCAAAGACTGACTGAAAAGAGAAGCTAAGAGAAAGCTAACTCCTTGGTATGAGATGTACACGTGAATTTAGAGGGTGGGTTAAGCAGTGAAAAGTAAGTTGGCTGAATGGGGAAAAGTAGTCAAGCAACATAAAAAAAACTTCAGCTCACAGATGGGCAATGCAGTGGGAAATTCCTAGTGGCAGTGGATGAAGGAAGGACACCGAAAACAAGAATAAGTCATATTTAAGTTCAAACTGTCTGCATTTCTAATATGTGAAAAGGACCCAAAACTGAAGTAATGCCTGATACACACACAAAGGGCTTGTGGTAAGTCGTTTGGGAAGAAATCAAGGAAAGAGGGCTGAATTCTATGTAGAAGTCTAGATGAATGACAGGGAAGAGAGAGGCTGTGTGAAATGAGACAGAACTGAATGTGGGAGTTCAGGGGGCTTATAATTTGGAGCCAGAATGAAGACATCAGCGCTCTAGAACTTGCAGAAATCTTGGTGATGTAGTTGGGTTTCCCAATATGTCTGTAATAAAAGGCTCAAGGTAGTCTTACTTAAATCCCAAAGCTCAGGTGTGTTAGTTCAGGCTCTTCAAGAAGCAGACAGGATTCGATGTGCAGAAGTTTTACTGGGAGAAACACCTTGAAGGGTTATGGGATCAAGGATTAAGCTGGAGAAGGTGAAAACAGACTGGAAATTGAGACAGGACTGACTCCTTTGAAAGGAGAGTGGGAAGAAAGAAAAATTGAGTAGACTCTCAGACCCCAGAGCAGTTCTAAGAAAGATCCAGCCAGGCCAATGAAAAGCCACTGAGCCAAAGTCACTGTTGGAGGAGTCCTGCATCTCACAGGAATGGGCCAGCAACATGATCAGTTATTGGCTGATAATAGCCCACTGAAAATGTGCACTCGGCACAAACATGATGGCAAGCCCAGAAAGCCAGCTGGCACCATCAGTCAGTCATGCTGCCACGGCAGGACATTGGAGCTGCAGATTCACCACCACCCAGCGTCACCTCAGCTGATAGGAATCATGTCAAATGCATCATTCAGTACTTAACTGCTCAATAAATATTTGTTGAATTAACAAATTGATCCACCCTACACACCAAATAATTATCCTAAGCAACTATTGAAACCTGATGTTGTGCACAGGAGAATTCATTTTATTATTTTTACTATGTGTAGTCTTTTAAAATTTCCATAATAAAAAGGTTTATTTAAAATCATGTGTAGAAACACTATGGTGGTTCCACAAAAAATTAAATTTAGAATTACAATAGGATCCAGCACCCAAAAGAAGTGAAAGCATGGACTCAACACATAAACATACACCCATGCCCATAGAAGGACTATTCACAATAGCCAAAAGGTGGGAAAAAACCCAAATGTCCATCAACAGATGAATGGATGCACAAAATGTGGTATATACATGCAAAAGAATATCATTCTGCTTTAAAAGAAGGAAATTGTAACACATGCTACAGCATTGTGCTAAGAGAATTAAACCAGTCACAAAAGGACAAATGCTGTATAAGTCTGCTTATATGAGTGTGTTAGTCCATTTACATTGCTATAAAGGAATACCTGAGATTGGGTAATTTATACAAAAAAAAGAAGTTTATTTGGCTCATGATTCTACAGGCTGTACAGGAAGCATAGCCCCTATATCCATTCTGGTGAGGGCCTCAGAAAGCTTCCAATCACAGCAGAAGGCAGAGGAGAGCCAGCATGTCACACAGTGAGAGAGAAAGCAAGAACCTGGGGAGAGGTGCCAGGTCTCTTTCAAACAACCAGATCTCATATGAGCTAATAAAGCGAGAACTCACTCATTATCGCAAGAACAGCACAAAGCCATTCATGAAGGATCGGCCCCTATGACCCAAATGCCTCCCCCTAGGCCCACCTCCAACAGCACATTTCAGTAAGAAATTTGGAGGGTACAAACGTCCAAACAATATCACTGAGGTTCCTAGAGTAGTAAAATCCATTGAAACAGAAACCAGAGTGGTGGTTGCCAGGGGATGGAAGGAGAGGGGAATAGGGAGTCAAGGTTTAATGGATAAAGAGTTTCAGTTTGCGAAGGAAAGAAAGGTTGGGAAGAAGAAAAAGTTCTGGTGATAGTTATACAACAATGTGAATATATTTAATGCCACTGAAGTGTACACCTAAAAAGGGTTAAAATACTAAATTTATCTTATGTATATTTTATTGCAATAAAAAATATTATTTAAAGAATATATTTGATAGAGGGGGAAAAAAATAGGAATGCTCCATTCTTACGCCTTAAGGCCTAAGCGTTGTTTCGCTGCTTCTAGATCCCTGATGAAGTCAGCACCGCTACTGACTTCTCCCAGCCCAGCAGTTTGGCTGGTGGGTTGGTTCCAGGGCTTTCTCTGATTGTGCTCCTCCTGGAGTCTGCTTAGAGCAAGTTCTCAGACTCCACCCAGAAGCTTTGTCCTAGAGAAGCCATTTCTGCCAGCAATTCCCACAAAAGGCCACAAAGTCCAGGTCCCTGTAGCTTCCTAGACCTTGGAAACTGGCCCTGATCTTTTGCTCCTTTGACTAAGATTTCTGTTTCAAAATAAAAGTAAACTTATTTTGGTAAATGCATCCAGATGGCTTTCTCCCCTTTAGAGTCTTCTGGCAGAACAAAAAAGTGAGAAAGAAAGCCTGCGAAGCTGTATTAGTCTGTTCTCACACTGCTAATAAAGACATACCCGGGTAATTTACAAAGGAAAGAGGTTTAATTGCCTCACAGTTCCATAGGACTGGGGAGGCCTCAGGAAACTTACAATTGTGGTGGAAGGTGAAGCAAACACATCCTTCTTTACATGGCAGCAGCAAGGAGAAGTGTGGAGCAAAACTGCTCCCATGATTAAATTACCTCCCACTGGTCCCTCCCACAACACATGGGATTTGTGGGAACTACAAGAAGAGATGTGGGTGGGGACACAGCCAAACCATATCAGAAGCCAATTGAATCTTTGGCAAAATGTTGCTGTGGTGGACTGGTGCATTAGTCCATTTTCATGCTGCTGATAAAGACATACCCAAGACTGGGCAATTTACAAAAGAAAGAGGTTTAATTGGACTCACAGTTCCATGTGGTGCAGGAGGCCTCACAATCATGGCAGAAGGCAAGGTGGAGCAAGTCACGTCTTAAGTGGATGGTGGCAGGCAAAGAGAGCTTGTGCAGGGTAACTCCCCTTTATAATACCATCAGATCTCATGAGACTTATTTGTATCACAATAACAGCATAAGAAAGACCAGCCCCCATAATTCAATTATCTCCCACCAGGCCCCTCCCACAACATGTGGGAATTATGGGAGCTCCAAGATGAGATTTGGGTGGGGACACAATTCCAAACCATATCAGCTGGCACCCAGCTAGGGTAAGCAATGTGTGTTATCCACAAAAAGGACAGAGGAGGAGTGGGCAGGCGTCAAGCCTTACCTGTCTGTGATTCCCACTTCCCTCTCTGCTCCTGCTCTTGCTTCCCATCCTTGATCACGGGACCTTTCTCGCTTTCCACTCTGCTTCAGGCACTAAACCACAGAGGATACCCTATTGCTCTCTGCATTTCCATCTTCCTTTCTGCCTATCTGTCCACTCGCTTCATTTCCTTTATTATGCTAGAGATTCCAAATCACCAGGAACCCTGAGTTTAAATTTCAGGCTCCACATACTGTGTTCAAGGTAGTTTACTAGGGGAGCCAGGGAAAAACAAGTCAGCAGTTAATTCTTCAAGCAAACACGCTGGCAGAAACAGATATGACCCTTCAGCTTCTCTCACTAATCTGGAAGCACTGGTTTTTATCTGAATAGTGTTGATGATGTGTTGGGTACCTTCTGAGACCTATAAATCCTTATGACTACTCCATCAAGTGAATGTCATTATTCTCATTTTGCAGATAGGAAGCCTGTGTAACTCAACTGAGGGCACACAGAATAAGGGACAGACCCAGGATTTGAACCCAGGCAGACTAGCTTCAGAGACAGTGCTCTTAACCACTAGCTAGTTACTGAGACATGTCCATTTTATAATGCAAACTTAATCATGATCTACAGAAAGGGTATATTCTAAAATTCTTAAAGCAAATTTTCACAAAACATTTTATTTTAATACGGAGAATGGTTCAATGGAAGAAAGCTTATTAATACTTCTGTCTGATGGAATCAACCCAAATGCCCATCAATGATAGACTGGATAAAGAAAATATGGTACATATACACCATGGAATACTACGCAGCCATAAAAAGGAACAAGATCATGTCCTTTGCAGGGACATGGATGAAGCTAGGGCCCTTTAAGTGTTTTTCCTTTGTCATCTGGTACGATGTTAAACTCTGTCAGTAGAGGGCTCTGGAGAAGCATCACAGAAGGAAAGTATTTAGTTTCCTGGTTCTGCTGCATGGCCTCCAGGCTCCTTTAGACTTCATAGCTTCTCCAGGCTCCTCCTACAACACAGCACAACACATGTGGCTTCCCAGAGCCCAGCACCTGCAGTGGAGCAGCTTCTCCAGGGCTCAGCTCCCACAAGGTACAGTGGCCAACATCACCCAGCAGCCAGCAGTACCCCCAACAACCCCCTTGGGCAGATTTGTAGCAGAGTTCCTCTGGTGAGATACCTCCTTGTGAACAGCTGTCTCCAACACCCTGGACAGGAACTATCAAGTTCCTGAGGGCTAATTTCTAGATAATTTTGTCAGCACAGTATCACAGGGACTTGTCTGCCATCCAGTCAGCCACAGCTATATCCTCTCCAACAAGGTCTGGATCTCAGCCCTTTGATACACTTAGCGTATGTGCATTTTCTATTTCCTTCCGACCTGGACGTCTACTCAAATATGCTTTACCTCTTGGCTCTATTATTTTCAAAATTTAGGTTTCACTATTTTATTGTGTGTATACTTTCTTTAGTCTACTTTAAATTATTTGTGTAATGTAAAGTCTAGTCATGGAAATATGTATGCAGATGAGGGTCATACCTATTTAACTTGCTATACTCCATTCCCAGAAAAGAACCAGGCTCAATGCAGTAAACCAATTCTTTCTGATGACAATAATGAGGCTGATGATCCAAAGTCATTCCATCCTAGGTTAGACTTTCCTATAACTGAAATTAGACCCTTAGAAGTTTAAATATTAGTACAAGGAATGACAAAGCCATTAGAGACACCCAAATCAAATTCTGTTTTCCTAAACAATGCCTGAAATTCATGTGGCCTGAGCCAGGCTAGGAACTGATTCAGGAGATACTAACTCCAGAGAGATGGAGGGAGGTAGATGTGGAAAACTGGAATGAGACACAACAGAAATTTCAAACTGGAGTCACAGAGCAGAGGGTGACAATTTGAGATTAACACAGAAGAGGTTGGTGAGCATTGCAATGATTAAGAAATAAGGTCTCAGATGAAATTCCCAGGGTAGCCCCACATTGAAAACTTCCCAGGTCAACCATCAATTCCATTACCACCACCCAGGGCATGGATTGCTGCAGTGTGGGGAATGTGCTGAGAGGAGCTCAGGAAACTCAGGCTTTGATTTAAAACCTCAGGATCTGCTGTGTACTCATTATGTGCCCTGAGCAGTTGCTTAACCTCCTAACAATGCCTACCTCCCTGGGCTGTCATGATGATAAAAGGAAGCACTGAATATGCAAAGCCCTTCTCATGGTGCCTGGCACCTAGGAAGTCTTAGCAAATGTAATTACCTTCTTTCCTTATATTGGTTTCCTAGCTGCACTAGGCTAGGTGGCACTGCTGCAACAAAGTGCCACTATCTGGGTGACTTAGAACAAGAGGAATCTATTGTCTCACAGTTCTGGAGGCCAGAAGTTCAAAATCAAGGGGTCAGCTTGGCCGGGCTTGCTCTAAAACCTATAGAGCAGCAGTCCCCAACCTTTTTGGCACCAGGGACCAATTCCAAGGAAGATAATTTTTCTATGGGCCAGAAAAGGGTGGATGGTTTTGGGATGATTCAAGCACATTATATTTATTGTGCACTTTATTTCTATTATTACTACATTGTAATATGTAATAAAATAATTATACAACTCACCATAATGTAGGATCAGTGGGAGCCTTGAGCTTATTTCCCTGCAACTAGATGGTTCCATCTCGGGGTGATGAGAGACAGTGACAGATCATCAGGCATTAGATTCTCATAGGCAGGACTCAACCTAGATCCCTCGCATGCGCAGTTCACAATAGGGTTCTCGCTCCTATGAGAATCTAATGCCAGGGCAGATCTGACAGGAGGCAGAGCTCAGGCGGCAATGTGAGTGATGGGAGGTGGCTGTACTTAACAGATGAAGCTTCACTCACTCGCTCACCTGCCACTCACCTCGCACTGTGCAGCCCAGTTCCTAATAGGCCACGGCCAGTACTAGCCAGTGGCCCGGGAGTTGGGGACCCCTGCTATAGAGAAAGAATCTTTCCTTACTTCTCTCAGCTTTTGCAGCTCGGAAATTCCTTGACCCGGGGCCGCATCGCTCTAATCTCTACCCCCACCTTCACGTGGCATCCTCCTGTGTCTCTTCACATCACCTTCCCTCTGTGCTCATCTGTCTCTGTGTCCATAGTTCCTCTTTCTATAAGAACAGCAGTCAGATTGGTTTAGCCACCCTCTTAATCTCATTTTAACCTGGTTCACTCTCTGAAGACTCTATTTCAAAATAAGGTCATATTCTGAGGTACTACGAGGTTAAGACCTCAATATATCTTTTTTGGGGGCGTGGCAGGGGGAACACAATTCAATTCATAATATGTTTCCTTAGTTTTCTGCCCAGAGTAGCAACCTAGCCACTTTCCTCCATAGTGAACTATCAGTTAGCTATTTAAAGGACACTGTCTGCCTTGTTAGTTTCAACAATATGGCTTAAAATATGCCTATATAGGTCACGCAACTTAGAGACCTTCCAAGTCTCCTCTGCCTCCCCCTATTCTGGGACTGGCCATTGGTGACTGCCTCTGCCCCCAGCCCCCACCGACCCCAGCCAATCACTGCCAGTCCTGCACTTACCAGATGCCCTTCTCTTCCCCTCCCTTCTTCATCTGATTTCTGAGCCTAAAGACTCACAACCACATAGCAGCTGCATTAAAATCTCTAGACTCTGCCAAACATGAACAATCTATAAAAAATGGCAGAGACAGTGAGAAAAACATTCCAGTTCATCTGAACAAAGTCCCCACCCCCCACATTCCCATGCTGAAGCCCAAGTGCTTATTTGAAATGTAGGAACTTTTGGGAAAGGGAATACATTTTGCCACTAACACTTTCATATGAACTGCAGGGGTCAGGGTAACATGAGGGCACTGGGCTCCTCTGTGGAACAAGAAGAGCACAGGCAAGGAGCATAGACAGGGGACACGCGTGTGCAGAAACACAACCATGAAAAACTAGGAAACTGAAAGGAGTGCGTACGTTTTCTCATAGGCCAAAAGTCATGGCAAAAATAGATTCATGAGCATTTTCCTCCTCTCTCTCTCTCTCTCTCTCCCGTCCCTACTGTAAGCATCTTTGTTTCTCTTAAGAAGAAAAAAGGAAGAGATGGATGGCATGTGAGAGGCAGGCCCACGGTAGACAGTTACCTGAATGGTCTGCTTTAAGCGGGGATAAAAGATTCCCTAGTCCAAAGTCACCTCCCCATCATGCCCTCAGGGCCTAAAATTAGGATCATTAGGATCATTCTTAAGTTCAAGACATCTGTCTTCCCAAGACAATTGATGAAAACAAAGCTCTTCGGGGGAGAAGCACACTGCCAGTGCCCACTAATATATGCACAGGCACTGGGATAGTATATTCACTGGTGGTCACCTTAGACAAATGCCCCCAGGGGAATAAATCCAGCTATAGTCATATGTTTGCTGTGTTCTCTGCTGTATCCTCAGAGCTGTGCAAATCCCTGGGCATAAAATGTGATATGAATCTGCTTCTGTAAAATGGGAACAAATAAGTACCTAAAGCATTATGTTGCTTTGAAGACTAAAGGAGTTAACACATCTATAATGCTTAGAACAGTTCCTAGCCTATAGTAAGCTCCCAGTCAGCATTGGCTGCTATTGTTATTGCTGCTGCTATTGTTGTTGTTGACTGAGAAAACTCACAAGTAATGAGAGACAAGAAAGGTCTGGAGAACTGCAACTGACAGCTGGGTGGGGTGATACCAAAGGGAAGGGGCCTGGCAGTGGCCCCAAAAGGAACTGAGAGCAAAACTAACCTTGCCCACTACACGAGCGCTCCAGGCACATAGCGCTTACCAAGTCCCAAGTAGGCCCCTGGCACTGAATTGTGGCCCTCGTTTCTCTCCCTGGTGGAGCTGGAAGCATTCCTTTAACTGCTTTGCTGTGGCCGATGAGGCATGGTAAAGGCAGGAGAGTACAGTGGGACAAAGCTTCCATAAACTAGAAAGCCACTGCGTCCCGGAATCTCTGAAACTGAACCAGATACATAGGGAGCACAGGGCACTGTAAATTAGGTGTCCTGGATTCCTGACCTGGACCCACGGGACACCCTATAGCCTAAAGGAAAGGCAAAGTGCTAGCACACAGTTTCCCAAAGTATGATACAGGTAGTTCATGAAAAAGGTATTCAAATAGGTTTCTGGGTTAAACAGAATTAAGTAGATTTCTTTAGGATAATTTTCTCAGAATTTCTAACATACATAAATGCATTGTGAATCTCCAGGGCATAGATACTGTGCACCTATCCCAAATGATCAGAGAAGACTGAGTTTAACTGAGTATCTGGTGACCAGGGTCTTCTGCAAACCCTGGGGTTGTAGACGAATGCTAGATGGTGTCTCCTCAAGCAAGCCATTTAGGCTTTCTGAGCCCTTGGTTTCCTCATCTGAAAAATGAAAGAAGTCAGTCAGTGGTTATTAGCTGATTTTGTCAAATGCACTGTGTGAAGCTGGTGAAGGCAAAGGTGCTCTGCCTCTAGGCGCATATTAAGCATCTGCCTGACCATTTTTTCATACAACTTCAGGGAGTCACAAGTCCCTCAACTATAAGATGTTCTAAGATCCATTCCATCTCTAAAATGGTGAAGGTACCTGAATCAGAAGCATATAGAGGCAGATATAAATTACTTCTGCCTGCCCAGCATCCTTTCCCTTTTTTTTTTTTTTTTTTTTTTTTGTTAACAGCAATATAGTTTCCTTTTCTGAAACTACCTCTTTCCCACTTCTCAGTCCATATATTTCAGGAAAAGTTAACCAACTCCTTCCAACTCCAGAAGTGGGCATGTCACCACAGCCTGACCAATCAGAACACCTCACTCGCCAGGCCATAGTGAAGGGCTCATGCAAGGGAATGTCGCTGACAGAAAGTGTTCTCCAGCATAGGACATACCGTAGAGCTATCAGATGGAAGGATGGACAGAGGGAAGGAAGGAGGGAAGAGGGAAGGGGGAGGGGGGAAGGAAGGAAGGAAGGAAGAAAGGAAGGAAGAAGGGGAGGGGAGGGGAGGGGAAGGGAGGGAAGGAGGGGAGGAGAAGGGAAGGGAGGGAAGGAGGGAAGGAGGGAAGGAGGGAAGGAAGGAAGGAAGAAAGAAGGGGAGGGGAAGGGAGGGAAGGGGAGGGGGAAAGGGGGAAGGAAGGAAGAAAGAAGGGGAGGAGAGGGGAAGGGAGGGAAGGAGGGGAGGGGAGGAGAAGGGAGGGAAGGAGGGGAGGGGAAGGGAGGAGAGTGGAGGGGAAGGGAGGAGAGTGGAGGGGAAGGGAGGGGAGGGGGGAGGCAGGGAAGGGAGAAGGGGAGGAGAAAGGAAGGAGGGGAGAGGGGAGGGGGAGGGGAGGGAGGACCAAAGAAAGAAAAAAACCAAAGGAAGGAAAGTCTTTACTTTGTGGCTACTAAACCAGCTGAATAAAAGCCTGCAGTCTTGGTAGCCATCTTTGTGTTTGAGAGAGAAAGTGATTCTTGATGACACTGGCTGACTCACCCCTGAACTCCATGTCTTCCTCCAAAATATCTCACTTATGAGAGCCAGTAAATATGCCCTTCTATTTAAATTAACTTGCAACTGAAAGAGTGCTGAACAATTCAGATATCAATCTTGGGATTCCCAGAGCTACGGTGAGGCTCAATTAAGAGGTTCACAGTGTTCATGCTGAGTCTACATTCAACAGAAAACCACCGTAGGAAGACATTAATGGATGACTGTACATTGACAAGCACTAGCAGGACCTGACCGTTGACCCATGTGAGCTGTGCACCAGGAAGGCCCCAGAGACTTCAAGTAATTTCTTCCACCTGCTGCCTGCTACCTGAAATGCCATCATGGAGCATCTGTGATGTTGGTAGGGGGTAGAGGGCAGGTGTGGAGGGTGTTGCAGAGACTTTTGAGAATCTGAGGAAAGCTATCAATCCTCTTTGTAAATAAGCAAAAAGATTTGCATGCAATTTCAGTGCTTTATACACTCCCTGAAGCCCCAGAGGGACTCTTTCCTCAAAGTGTCTCAGGGCTCCATCCCCTTGCTTTAGGTAGAGAAGAATTGCTGAACTTGTCAACATGAAAGATCCCAATCTCTCAGAGGACTTCAGGTGGAAAGGAAGGCAGATCACCACTGGCACAAAAAGGGAAAGGGGAGTGGCACCATTCCCCACAGAACTCTGGCACTCACACAAACAGTGGGAATGGATCATGCTGCCCCACCCCTGCATGTCCTTTTTGGAGTATTGGAGTATTTTAACTCATAGGAATGGGGAGCCAGCCTAGCTAGAACCCCTCCTTTGTCAGATTTGGAATTAACCCTATGGCATGAGATTTTGATTCCTGTTAAAAGAGCTCCCTGTAGAGAGAACACTTCAAACTCCTATCAGTCATTCCTACCCGATTCCAGATACTGTATTTTAATAAGGAAAGTTAGGGACGTTTTAATAAAAGTAGAAGGAAGAGTTATGACAACAGATGTCCACTGCAGTCTGGCTTTGTCTGGGCCCGCATGGTGGAAGAACTAGTTTTTTTAAAATAGCAATTGATTCTAACCTCTGAAACATTTAGCAAATTATTGTTGTAAGTGGTTTTGCTCTTCCCAGTTGCAGGAAGTTTTCTAAAAAAAAAAAAAAAAAAAAAAAAAAAAAAAAAGCCAAGGCTTCCCAACCAGGAACTATGAAGTTGATAGTTTGCTTTATATTTAACAGCAAAGTTAAAGGTTAATGGTTTGACAAGTCCTTACCCATTTATCATCTCAAACTTAAAAAGTTGCATGAAAACTGGCCTCTCCCGCTGAAACCTAAATGTTCCATCCCAGCTCCTGGCAGGCCTGTGTTTGTGACCCGGTCCAAGCCTCATGTGTCCTCCTACACATTCCAGGAAGAAGGCAGGGAATGAACGGAGGTGGCCGGCTGCAACTCAGCTCCCAGCCACGGCCGTTCCACCACACCAGTCTCGCAGATATTTCTTCTGCCCCAGAAGCTGTCAGATCTAAGGTCCCATGTTAGGAGGGTTCAGATGGATCTCTGAGAAAAACCTATTTTACGAGTGAGAGCCTTTTGCCAAGAATAAGAATGGTCCCCTGTTTGCCTGTTTCAATCTCAAAAGCAGATAACAATTTCTGTTTTCCTGACCCCTCCACAGCCTGGAAAGCTCTTTTATCTTTCTGCCTGTTTGTTTGTTATACTTGGAATCCCAGAGAGGAACCAACATGTTAAACCTTCTCCATAGCAACTGTATTCCTCTTATTTCAATAGGGCCCAAGTAATCATTACCACCCTTACAGATGCAGCCTGAAATTGGGGCTGGGCCCTCAAGTTCACTTCAAGGGTGTTGGTGCCAGGAGATGTGATATTTTCAAATGTTTGCCACCGTAAGTCCTTGGAAAAAGGTAAGAATTTATTTCTTATGAGAGTTTTACAGCTAAAAAATAAAGATTTAAATTAAGCCACCTCGTTTCATTTTGTTTCCAAAGACCTCTTTCAGAATCAAAGTCACTGGGCTTGGCGTGTTCCATTAGGAAGCTCATTAAAGCCTAAGAAACATCTTTGGCAATGGCAAGACACCATTGGCTCGTATGGCAAGGATCTGGATGGCAGGATCTGTGCTTTATGAATGACTACGGACTGGCACAGCCTCAGATGCAGAGTGTCTGAGCACCACAGTGGAGGACTAGAAAGTGTATGAAGTTGTATTTGATGTCTTCTGTTTTAGCATACTCTCCCACTTCGTGGAATCTGTTGGAAGCTTCTCTATGTTGTCTGCTCACAGACTCCAGTTTCGTGTTGCCTTCTGGTCACAGTCCTTGCTTCGGTAGCCACCAAAGCCTGTCCATTTCAAAGGGCTCTTGGGCTCTGAACTGCCTTCCCCGGACGGCAGTTCTAAGACCCTGTGCTGCAAGAACAAGCTCAGTCTGTTAAAAAAGAGTTCCATGCCGTGGAGATGTCAGGCACCATCTGGCAGGATGCTGTTGCCTCTCCCTAGCAACTGCTCCCACATCCATGTCTCTGGTTACCTTGCCTGCTTCCCTAGTTACCAGAACTTCCAGTCTCTAGCACACCTCCGATACCACCTCCGTCGGTTTGCAGCTTCCTCCCAGAACCTCTTGAAAGCGGGTCCCGGTGATTCTGCCTCCAGGATCACAGACTGACTCTCAGCACCAACCAAACCCACAGTTTCACTCCTGTCAAGCCCACAGTATCTATGAGTCAAAACCGCCAGCACTTTAATTCAGTGTTAAACAATCTAATCGATCAACCAGTGAATCTCAATCGTGGATGTACATTTGAATCACCTGCAAGCCTTTAAAAAGACTAACCCCCGCGCCGGGCACCAGCCCCAGATATTCTGATTTAATTGGTCTGAGGTAGAGCAGTATTTTTTTTTTTACACTCCAAAGGTGGTTTAAAGGCGCAGTCAGGGTTATGAATCATTGATCTAATCCAAGAAATGCAGTGCTGCACCCCCTTTCATATGCCAAAAAAAAATTCTCACCCAATAATGACTGGACAGACACAAATACTAAAGAAGTGACCCCCATCTAATTTAAACAAGTAATTTCTCCAGATTTTTAAAGTTGTGTCATTTTGATAAAATATAATTTATAACGATATTTTATGAAAGCCAACCCAATTTTTTTTCTTCCAGGACAGCTCTGTGGACCTGCATCACTACCTACTGAACATAGACTTTGTCCATGTGACTCGCTGGTTGAATATTATGCACCTTTTAAAACTATAACTCTTCAATGCCTCCAAAGTGCTGTGTAAAACCTTGAAATAGTCAGTTATATAACAAGAATGTCACTAACCATGTTTTCCAATCAGATCTTCACCGTTTTTCTCATAGTCCTCCATCTCTTCCTATTCAAGGTGAGGTCCTGGCGCTAGCAACATCTTAGACATCCAGAATATATGGCCCCAGTCCAGACCAACTAAATTGAAATCTGCATTTTTAACCAGGTCCAAAGAGAACCCACGGCTGCATTCAAGTTTGAGAAGCAGTACCCAGTAAACTGCTTTTACGAATCTTACTGTTAGAATAACCTCTTTAAAGGCTCTCTTTTTGTGGCCTTAGCCCTTATTTTCCACTGAATTTCTCTCTGTGGATGCCCTGCTCCCACAAAACAGGTCCACCTCCAGCTTCTAGGCTTGGGCTCTCCTCGACACGCTTGCCCACCTTCTGCAAAGCTCTCTCCCGTCCTCTCTGCCTGAAGGCAGCATTCTCATTTCTCAAAATCCCAACAGAGCCTCTCCTCTCCAAAACCTCCCTAGATCTCTCCAGCCCACAGTGGTCTTGCCTGCTTATAATTTTATAGCGCTTATCCGTACATTTGTCAAAATGATGGCTGTTTGTGTTTTATTGTTTAGCCCTTATTTTGCCCTTAACTTTTCAAATACTTACGCCTTCTCTCTTCCACTTATCCATCGTTTACCTACCTTTGTACCTGCCACGGAGCTTTGCACATAATAGACTCAACAAACATTTGGTGTTTGGTTTTGACTCAGATCTCTGATGGCAAACTATACAACACATAAAACCTATAAATCTGTATCTAGATACCAGTAAAAAATTTACAACCTCTAAGCTAGCTGGTATTAAAGCTTCCAATATGCTAGACACATGAGTTGGAAAGTAATATACTGTATAAATAGATACTGGGCTATTTTAGATAACTAGAGAAAATAATTATCAAAAATGAAAGCAAGACAACATAATATCAGGTATCAACTAACAGTGTAAGTAGAAACATTTCATATCATCGTTACTTAGGACAGCTAATCAAATAGAAACCCCTTAACTACTAACTGCCACTGGCCAAAGTGCATTAGCAGCCAACCCCAGGCCTGTGACGTCCAAAGAAAGTCATATAGGCCTCCTGACTAGGATTGTCTCTATTAGGGTATGGGCAGTCCCAGAACTCATTCCATTCCACTCCTGGATAGAATGACCCCATGTATTGCAACAGGAATATTCATGGGTGTTTTTTCTAACTCCTTTCTTATTTTTTTCATAGAGCTCATATTTATTGAGAATTAACTATGTATCCTGTAGTAAGCCTTGAAAATATGAAAATGAGTAAGACACTGTCTTTGCCTCCGTAGGAGGAGACCTAAGCAGGTTATTTGAATGCAATGCAATGAATATACAGTACTACAGTGCTGTTCTTTAATTAATACAGTACTAGAGTACTGTTCTTTAATTGATACAGTACTAGAGTACCATGTAATACACACGGTATTGATGGAAAATAAGCAAGAGCTGCCTAACACAACCTGAGGCAATCAAGGAGACCCCTGTGGAGGTGGTGATGCCTACACTGAGCCTTAGAGTTGGCAAAGAAGTTAGCCAAGTGAAAGGTGAAGAATCAATACTCCAGCTTGAGGGAAGCATGCAAAGAAAGGGGCGAAGTAACTGAAATCACGGTATATGGAAGGAACCTGTGATAACTCCACATTGTAGGAGGTAGGACGTGATGAGGTTTCTTCCACAGGGGTGACTGCTTGCTAGTTGATAAGCTTAGATGCAAAAGACCTTGGACTTTATCCTAAAGGCAAATGGAGAATGTCTAGGCTTGAAAGATTTAATGCAGTTTCCAAGATCTGATATGCAAAGTTAAGAACAACTTAGATTCTACACAAACCAGAACATTAAATGCCATAAAATTGTAGTCAACATAGCTATGTATACACTGATTCAAACATTCCATGGGTCATGTCTACAGCCGGGTGTTAGAAGAAATGATCTCTGAGATAAATCCAGCCAAGATTCTATTTTCTGATTCCAAACGCCCAACAAAACTGTCGACCTGGATCCGTCCTTTTGAAAGCAATGAAGCATACCACAGGACAAATAGCACAGTGTTACCAACGTATAATCGTAAAATGAAAAGAGCATTTAAAGGGCTGTGGAATCAAAGGCCAGTGGCGGACATGGGCCTCATTCTCACTCGTCCAACTTCTCTTTCCAGCAAACCATACCTTTTCTGCAATTGTAGCTCATCATGTCAGGCAAGTTTATGTGTTGATAATGTCTTTATTCATTATATTTTAATTTAAAATATTTAACATATTTTTAAATTTGCAAACAGCCAGTTCAGTTATTTGCTTTATACTTGTATACTTGCTTTATGCACACTCACATACTCACACAGATTTTTATTCAATTTTGATAGATTAAAGCTGGTTGGTTTGAATATTGGCATTTTCTGAAATTTTATCTCAGTATAAAAACTAAATTATTTAGTCTAGATGTTCAAAACCATTAACACAGAAGAAAAACACTAGCAGGAAGTAATTCTGTTTGGTTCAGGTAGGTGACAAAATAAATTATACCTAAAGTTATATATAGCTGGAATAATTCAACTGTCTGCCTTTTGAGTTAGTGAACCATGCATGCTGCTTTACCTAATGGCTTCTAATCTGTACTGGACTTGGACTTTTCAAGATGAATGAAACTGATTAAGGCAACTCTCTCCTGCCAACTTCACCATATTTGGATGCAGCGTCTCATCCTTCCATCTCACCTGTCCAGGTATGATTTGCCTAGCAGTGATATTATTTGTTAGAGACAGGACAAATAAATGTCCATATTTATGTTATTTCTAGTTTTTGCAGGACTTTATAATTAATCATTAGGAAAAATCATAATGATGATAAAACTTAGAAAAATGCTAAAGAAGTAAGTATAACAGTTTAAAAAGAAAAAGATTTAAAAAGGAGATTCTGTCATTTGCCACAACACAGAAGGACCTGGAGGACATTATACTAAGCGAAATAAGGCAGATACAGAAAAAAAATTTGATCTCACTTATATGTGGAATGTAAAAACAGAAGGTCAAATATACAAAGATAGGCCAGGTGCGGTGGCTCACAACTGTAAATCCAGCAGATTGGGAGGCTGAGGAAGGTGGATCACTTGAGCCCAGGAGTTGAGACCAGCCTGGGTAACATAGCAAGACCCTGACCCTACCAAAAACAGAAAAAAATAGCTGGGCATAGTGGCACGCATCTGTAGTCCCAGCTATTTGGGAGGCTGAGGCGGGAGGATCCCTTGAGCCCGGGAGGCAGAGGTTGTGGTGAGCCGAGATCAAACCAATGCACTCCAGCCTAGGTGAAAAAGCCAGGCCCTGTCTCTCTCTCCACATAGATAGATAGATAGATAGATAGATAGATAGATAGATAGATAGATAGACAGACAGACAGACAGATAGATAGATGTATATGTATGTGTGTACATACACACACACAAAGCTAGAGAATAAAACAATGGTTACCAGGGTCTTCATGTGGTGGGGAAATGGGGAGATGTAGGTCAAAGGATACAAAGTACTAAATATGTAAGAAATAGGTTGAAAGATCTAATGTACAGCATGAAGACTATAGTTAATAGTTGTGTATTGTAGTCAAGATCTTTGCTAAATGAGTAAACTATAGCTGCTCTTGCCACAGGGGGAAAATGTGGGTAACTATGTGAGTTGGGGGAGATGTTAGTTAATTTATTCCACTATAGTAGCCATTTTACTATATATATGTATCTTATAACATCGTATTGTATACCTTCCATATACATAATAAAATATATTTTATAAATAAATAAATGTATATATTGTGATTTGGTTGCCCAGAAAAGAAAGAAAGAAAGAAGAAAGAAAGAAAGAAAGAAAGAAAGAAAGAAAGAAAGAAAGAAAGAAAGAAAGAAAGAAAGAAAGAAAGAAAAAGAAAGAAAGAAAGAAAGAAAAAGAAACAGAAGAAGTTGCAGAGCAAAATAATGAGGAGACTGGGCCAGACTGCAAGGTGAAACTCCTGGTCTCCCCACTTGCTAGTGAGATGACTTTGGATAGGTGATTTAATCATTGAAAAGTCTCTGCCAGATGCAGTGGCTCACGCATGTCATCCCAGCATTTTGGGAGGCCGAGGTGGGCAGATCACTTGGGGCCAGAAGTTCGAGACCAGCCTAGTCAAAATGCCAACATGCCCGTCTCTATTAAAAATACAAAAATTAGCCATTCGTAGTGGCACATGCCCATAATACCAGCTACCTGGCAGGCTGAGGTGGGAGAATTGCTTGAACCCAGAAGGCGGAGGTTGCAATGAGCCAAGATTGTGCGCACTCCAACCTGGGCGACGGAGAGAGACTCCATCTAAAAAAAAAAAAGAAAGAAAAAGAAAAGTCTCAGCTGCCCAATGTGTAAAATGGGAATAATAATAGTAGTTCCTATCTCATAATGTAAGGTTGATAAGATTATTTTAAGTAATTTATATGCAGCATGTAAATCAGAGTTGGGCACATAGGAAACCATATGTGCTAGCATTTTTAATATCATTATCATCATTATTATAAGGCACCATGATAATAATTAAGTCTATTAATTCCAGTAATTCTCAAGGAATAATTTCATGGAATCACAGAGTAGTTCATACACACACACACACACACACACCCACACACAAAAAAACACACATACACACACACACACCCTCCTTTTCCAGCACTTCTGGGAATGTTTGATGTTTGAAATATAGAGGGAAGGGGAAGCTTCCCAAGAGATTATATTACAAGGGTTAGTTATCAGAAAAGAATGCTGTGGCAAACTCTGTTGCTTGAATGATCCGACCCCACTTCCAGCCTCTTCCCTAGTTCCCCTTCCAGCTAGGAATGGCAAGTGACACAGTTCAGCCAGAAAAGACATCTCTCTTCCTCCTGCAGAAATGATGCCTGGGCTGTGAGACCATTCCTGTGGCCATGAAGGAAACCTCCAAAGAATCAGAGACCTTGGTGCTAGCATTGCTGAGTCCCTGAATCAGTGCCAACAACAACCCACCTACATATTTTGCATCCTCTATGAAAAACAACCCCCTTTGAATTCAGGTTTTCTAACACATACAGCCAAAAGCCTACCTGGCTGATACATTTATAGACTACATTGCTGTTGAGACTGCCCGAGAGACACCTGTCTGCAGAGCTCATGTTTACCCATTATCACTTGTGCCTGCTTTCTTTTCCCAGGGTATAACGAGTTCCTTGGTGTGCTCCTGTTGCTATTTTCAGTCTTCCACCTCTCCTTGCATAAGTCAAAACTTGGGAATATCCAGGCAGCCTTTCCTTCCAGCTCTTCCCCATACCTTCTGCTTGCTCCCAAGTGCTAATCTCACTTCCAGCTATTTATGCTGCAGGCTCTTCATTTCTTGCCTTCCAAGCAGCCACATTCTGGGTGATACAGAACCAGGGTACCTGTTACTGGTGCTACTAAATACCCCAACACAAACATCACAAGATTCCTTTTCAGTGTCACCAGGAGTAGGGACATTCATCTTCCCATTAAAGACAAATTAACCACTTGCCTGTCTCTACCTTGTCAGTTTTACTACCTTAGTCTCCACCGGTTCTCAAAAAGCCCTCCTGCCCACTCAGTCCTTCATCCCTGCCTGCTCTCTGTTGAAGTCTGTTCCGCTCCATACCCAACAACACTGGTAAAGGCTGCGCCATCTTTGAATAGTGTTTCCATTTATTATTTTGTGTTATTGTTATTTAGACAATCAAATCGTTCACTTAAATGAATACATTATGAACATATTTTAAATTGCCTATGGACTTATTTAAGATAACAATTCCTCAGATCTAAAATTATTTACCCATTTTTGTTAAAAAAGGAAAAATTGGGGCTTGAATTAGGTGATTGATAATTTTATTTTTCTTCATAAAATTAGCCCATATTCTGAAAATGTTTAATATCATATAAAAAATTATAGTCATATGGGTTAAACCATAATGTCAGTAAAACAGCATCTACATTAGTCTGGGGGAAAAAAACTATATTCTGCCACCAGCAGAAAGATGAATTTTGTTGGCCTTTGAAAGTCAGAGGATTAACTAGTGTTTGGGGGGAAATGTTTTAAAAGATACAGAACCTGTCTTATTTTCTGCTTCATGAACTAGTAACACAAACACTGGAGAGGCTGTGATGGGTGTGTTCCAGCTGTCTGCTAACAGATGAGGCTTTTGAGGTTGTGAGCCAAAGGAACAGCAAACACCATTCTGTGTTTAATAAGCCTTATACTCTCCAGTATTGAGATTACCCGTGACAGAGTTAAAACTTGGTGGGGAAAAAAAAAAAGTTATTCCAAGCCACTGGCACAACATAAGATCCTGCCATTGTAAAGGAATCACATGGATTGTGAAGGAAGCAATTGTGAAAGACAGCATTTTTCTTTAAAAAAAAAAAAAAAAAAAAAAAACTTCACTGGAATTTCCAAGTAGGAGGGGCTCGAGCTGAAAAAGTTTAAATTTCAAATCATCCAAATTACTATTTGAAAATTATTTAGGCCACAGGGAGCAAAATGCAACATTTTAATTTGTTTTCTAGCAAAACATCCATATATGAATCCAGGTAAATCAGAAACTCTTCCCAGATAAGAAAAATTTTAAATAATCATAAGAATAAAAACAAGTCATTTGCAGACACAGCTCAATAATGTACCAAGAATGGTGCAATCACATACATAATTCAAGCATAATGTAATCTTTAAAATACATATTTCTAAAATAAAGAGCAGACAGCTTGGGTGTGGATTCTGGCTCTTACTGTGTTAATTTGGCGAGTAACTTAACATCTCTGTGCCTCAGTATCCACATCTACAAGATGCAGAAAATAGCTAACTTGTAGGGTTGTTAAAATAAGAGTGAAATGAGTTGGAATTGTACAGTGCTTAGAACACTGCCAGGTACATAATAAGGGATATATAAGTATAACTAACAAATAATAATAGCTGAGAAGCTTACATGAGGGGATAAATTTGGACTAATCAGTCAGTGGGAGAAGCCATAGAAGCCTCCAGGCTTACCTCTTACCTCATACAAGAGGAAGCCCCTAAGAAACCTCTTGACACACAGTAAGAAGGGGAAACTGCCTCCCTGTAATTCCTACCTTGAACCCTAAGTCTGAAACAATAACAAATAAATCCAAGTCTGCTTCTATGTGGCAAATCACCACATATTATATGGAACCTTCATTTCCTTCTCTTCTCTAAGCCAAGCATCCTCTAATCAACCTCTATTCACAACACCTGCCTCTATAGGCACAGAGTTTGTCAGGTCTGCCATTAAGGATGGGCAGAAAGTACCCAATGTGGTCTATGAAGCATCTGAGGCTCTCATTGTGGACCCTTGACTTCTATTAACTGAGGCTCAAATCGGATTCCCATGTTTTGACATCCAGGTCACCCAATCACCTTCTACCTAGCCTACAGTGAACAAAACTGCCCTCTTGATCTACTACAACCACAGCACTCAGCTTCATACTCACATAGACATTTTAAAGCTTAAACTCAAAAATGTGTATTTATCCCTATTAACTAGTCCCACTTGATTATTAATCAGAATAAATGTGCATGTACAATCTGATTTAGTAGTACACCAAATCAGATTTTAAATGTCCTAGAGGAAATCGTTTTTTTAAAGAAATTGTATGATGAAAATTTTGTAAAACAAATAAATATCTTCCAATTGATTTTTTATGTAAATCTTTTAACATATTAAATTTGCCTAAAGCAGGATACAAATATATTAAGTTTTGGATTATACCATATTATGTTATTACAACAGATCTGCCTTCCTGTATTTTGATTAGGCTAATACTAAAATTAGTTTATTTTCCCTGAATGTACTGAAACAAAAATATTTGCATACATAAGAGAGTCAAGAGGCCATGACATGACCAAAAAAACTGCCTAGGTCTAAAATTTTCATAAAGTGCAATCCTCGCAGAGCAAACCAAAAGTTAATTCTTTGGTTTAAAAGTCCCCTCTTATCCCTTTTATATAAGTGAAATTATGTAACCAAAAAATTATAACTAATAAGAAATATGAGTGTTTCATGTTTATTCCGTTTCCATTGAATTTGACTCCACAATTGGATCACACTCTTCAAGAGCTCTCTCTATCAGGTAAGGGCTTGGGCAATGCCTTTTACAGGCTGACTCCAAATTACCTCTCTTGCCTCACCTCTGATAACACCCTACCACTATCACCCACTGAGTTTCACCAACCCCACCCACCTACACTCACAGCACTACCTATTTCTCCAAACTGATACTGATGGAGGAGGAGGTTGATAAGGTCTCAGATCAGTCCATGATAGGAAAACCAATATCTAGCATGCCTGGGTGAACCTTGGGAACCAGAACTGAGCTGTGCCCTTCCCTGGGGCTAACCCTACCCTACTGCTGAGCACACTATGCTTGGCCTTCTAACTCTGTATCTGACTGAACTTTCCCCTTCTCTTATGGGGGTTGGAGCTCTTCCTTAAACCCAGACACTTAACTGGTGCCCCAAATAACTTTTCCAGCCCATTACCCTGTTATTCAGTAACTTCCTGGGATCCTGCCATAAACCAAAAAGACCTCTAAGCACTGTCATGCCAGCTCCCACCAGACTTTCAGTATCAGCACTCCTGCCCAAGGATCTCCCACCAGATTGGAGACTGGGCCAAAATTTACCATACATGTATTAACAACACAATTTTTTTTGGTGGCAGGGAGACAGGGTCTCACTCTGATGCCCAGGCTTGAAAGCAATGGCATGAGCTCAATGTAACCTCAATCTCCTGGGTATAAGTGATCCTCCTGCCTTACCTCCCAAAGTGGTGGGATTACAAGCATGAGCCACCACACCTGGCCTAACATTACAATTTGAACTGCTAATACAAGGTAATTTGAAGAAGGAATGTGCAAACTCGTGCATAAAGAAAGCCTCAGCTTCTTTTTCTAGGGCATCTAGGAGTCTCAAATAAATGAAATATATTCTATGTTCCTGGGTGAGAATATTCAAAATGTGATCATTTCAATCCTTTCCAAGTTACTGGTGGTTTGTAGATTTAATTTTGACAAATAAACTCATCAAAACTATCTCAAAATTTATGTAGAAGCAAAATGAGTGTGGATGGCTAAGGAAGTTTACGAAAGAAGAGTTTTAGAAGAATTTGCTCAATTAGATTTGAAAATCATACTATAAAACCACAACATTTAAATCAATGTTGTATTTGCTTGTGAATGCCAAGCATATCAACAGTGTGGGAAAAGACCCTAAAAGAGTTTCTAGTATATGTAAGGATTTACCATATGGTGTATGAGGTGTCAGAAATTAATAGGAAATAAAAAAAGATTCAACAATTTATACTGGAGAAACTATTAGGGGAAAAATTATTTGAAGCTTTGCTACATACCCTTATGAGATAAATCCTGTATACAGTAATTAAATATGTTTTTAAAACAAATTACAAAGTAGAAGGGAAGGTACAGAGATTTGTCTTATGGAGGGGATCTTTGAAACTAAAAAACAATGAAAGTAATTACAAAGAAAGAGGTTGATAAATTTTTTATTAAAATAAGGAGAACTAAAAGACTACCAACTGGAAAAATATCTATAACAACTATGAGACAAATGGTTACTGTCCTTCATATGTAAACAGCATTTACAAATCTATTAGAATACACAAAGACCATAATACAGTATATTTACAGGCAATTCTTCTTAGAGGAGGAGATAGAGGTAAAAATAAATTTAAAAATTTCAAGCTTAACTCATAAACAAATACATATTAAAATAACAATGGTTATTCTAAGTGAAGTAACTCAGGAATGGAAAATCAAACATCATATGTTCTCACTTATAAGTGGGAGCTAAGCCATGAGGATGCAAAGGCATAAGAATGACACAATGGACTTTGGGAACACAGGGGGAAAGTGTTGGAGAGGGTGAGGGATAAGACTACAAATTGGGTGCAATGTATACTGCTCGGGGGATGGGTGCACCAAACTCTCACAAATCACCACTAAAGAACTTACTCATGTAACCAAACACCACCTTTTCCCCAATAACCTATGGAAGTTAAAAAAAATCAATAAAAAAGAATAGCAATGGGATTGTTCAAGAGATCAGAAAAAACAAAAATGAAAATGCAAAGATTTTAGAGTGAAGCAAATGAGTTTGAATACTAACTCTTACTATTTCTAGCTATGTGAGCTTGGGCAAATTATTTAATTCTTCTAAGTCTCAGTTGCTAATATATAAAATGGAGATAACAGAAATGTATATAGCTGCTTTGAATAGTAAATGAGATAAACAAGGTAAGGTGTTTAGCATAGTGCTTAACACATAAGTACTTAACAAACATTAGCCATATAGTCTTCCTTCAATACACGTATAGCACTCATGCAAGAGATATTTATAGACATATTCGTGAGTGACAAGCACTCTACTAGATGCTGAGGATACCATGGGAAAGAAAGATCAACACCATCCCTGCCCTCATGGAGCTTACTGTCTACTAGTGCTGGCAGACAATTAAATGAACAGTTACAATTCAGTAGAATAAACAATATTTCAATGCTGTTGGTAGGGAAGCTCACAGGGCAAGAACTAACCAAATCTGGGGTGTGGCAAGGAGTCAAGGCCACAAAGCACTGAGAAGCCAGTTGATCCTATTATGCCTTTGGTGGCACCAGTCTATTCGGTGGGGAAATTTTCTAATCAGCAAAACTCAGGTGTGGAAGACTGACGTCTGGATTCATCCAGGCCTGGGATTTTGTCAAGCAGTAGTGAAAGAAGTTACATAGGGACAAAAGAGTTGATAGTGACAAAAGAGAGACTGAAGTGATAGAACACAAAATCTAAACAGATTGAGAAATGGATTGAAGATGCAAGGTGGGTGACAGAGAAAGAAAAAGTAAAGTAATTGAGGGTCTAGAGAGCCTAAAGAGACAAAGAGTAAGATGGATATGAGGCTATGTTCAGAGAGTAAATGTCTGAATATAATAATTGAGTAACCAAAATATGGGTACGGAGTACCATGGCCAGAGTATGGCCATGGAAAAAGAAGAGGAACAGGGTTAGAGCAGAAGAGGGTTACGAGTAAGTCAAAACCCTGAGAAGCCTGTGTCATTTGGGCAGATGTCCAAGTCACTCAGGAAATGACAAGGCCTGAGGGTCCACAGAAGGACAGAAGCCACATGCCAGAGTAGAACGTCTCTTAAAATGGTAGAAGGAGGCTGGGCGCAGTGGCTCACGCCTGTAATCCCAGCATTTTGGGAGGCTGAGGCGGGCGGATCACGAGGTCTGGAGTTCAAGACCATCCTGGCCAACACGGTGAAACCCTGTCTCTACTAAACATACAAAAAATGAGCCGGGCATGGTGGCATGCGCCTGTAGTCCCAGCTACTCGGGAGGCTGAGGCATGAGTATCTCTTGAATCTGGGAGGCGGAGGTTGCAGTGAGCCCAGATCCCACCACTGCACTCCAGCATGGCGACCGAGCAAGGCTCCGTCTAAAAAAAAAAAAGAATGTGGTAGAAGGATTGGCTCATTTAGGATGATAAATTAGAGGCAGGGTAGGAAATAAAACCTAAATTATCTTTAATTATTCCATTTCTAAGTTTTAGAAGAGAGATATAAAAGAAGTTTTTGGTTTAAATTTTCTGGTTAATTTCCCAAACATAAATTTAACTTCATCAAGAAAAGTTATAAAACATAATTCCCTGCTAGTAACAGGACCAGTCAGGCAATAGGGTACCACAGCTTGAGTTTTCAGAGATGTATATTTCAACACTAATGAAATAGAATCCATACTAGAATTGCCTTTGGCATGGTGAGAAAATGAACATCTATTAAAACTTAAGATGGAAAAAAGGAATCCCTTTGACATATTTATTTCATTAGTTTGGGGAGCTAGTTCCAGATCATTAAAATTCTTTAAACCTATAACCAAAAAGAAAATGGTGAAAAAAGGGAAATGAGATTGATTCTAGGATAGTGGATAGGAACTACAACAAATTTGTAATATATTATAGTAAAAGTGAATATCATAGGAAAATTCCAATTACTTGTAGCCTCCTTAGTACCACCCATCAATTTCTTTGGAAAGGCAATTCCATTTCAGTATATCCATTCAAAGAAGACAAACTTGAAGTACTAAAGTTCTAATATCAAATCAAAAATAAAAGTTCAGCCATGTAAAAGCAAAAGGCAAAGTTCTGTTGGTCTTGATTCCTTTGACATTTAACTAAATAATAACAAAAGTGAAGGACTAATTTCATTTTAAAAGTTCCAACTTGTCCAGATGAAAGGCCATTACCTAAAAATGGCATACCAAATGACATTGCTTTGGGGTCCTCAGCACTTGATCCAAGGGGAAAAAACCCTCGTGGTTTTGATTAAATTAAAAGCTTCTCAACAAATAATTCATAATTTTTCTTCTGCTCATTTTGTTCATTCATATCTCAGGTCCCCTAACACCTTAAAGTCTTATACCATTCATGACATCCAAGTGAGAATACAGAAGAATAACTGTAATTAACATTTTACTACCTCTTCTACTCAGTTCAAGTCACCATCCTTATCAACTGATTTGCCATGGAGAGTGGGGTTCTTCACCAACAGATTTAGTAGGACCAGTATTCTTGGCAGAAAATTAATTTTTTGGATTTTTTTGAGACAGATTCTCACTCCTGTCGCCCAGGCTGGAGTGTAGTGGCACTATCTCGGCTCACTGCAACCTCTGCCTCCTGGGTTCAAATGTGCCTCAGCCTTCCAAGTAGCTGGGACTACAGACACACACTACCATGCCTAGCTAATTTTTTGTAATTTTAGTAGAGATGGGTTTTGCCATGCTGGCCGGACTGGTCTCAAACACCTGACCTCAAGTGATCCACCCACCTCAGCCTCCCAAAGTGCTGGGATTATAGGCATGAGCCACCATGATCGGCCAGGAAATTAATTTTTAACTAAACATTTTAAAAATATTTGTCTTTCTATGCAGATTCGTCTTTTAAACTTGCAGTTGGTACACAATGGAATACTATTCATCCTTGAAAAAGAAAGAAATTCTGTCATTTGCAACAACATGGATGGAATTGGACAACATTATGATACTAAGTGAAATAAGTCAGGCACAGAAAGACAAACACAGCATGTTCTTACTTATACGTGGAATCTACAAATAGAGAATTCACAAAAGCAAGAAGCAGAATGGTGGTTACCAGAGGCTGGAGGATGGGAATGGGGAGATGGGGAGATGATGGTCAAAAGGTACAAAGGCACAGTTAGACAAGAGGAATAAGTTTTTCTTAATCCACTGCAGTGTGGTAAATATAGTTAATAACATTATATTATACATTTCAAAATCGCTGAAAGTACATTTCGAATGCTCTCACCACAAAAAAATAAGTATTTGATGTGATGGGTATGTTAATTCACTTGATTAATTATTCCACATTTTACTCATGAATCATAATTTCACTTTGTACCCCATAAATATACACTATAATTTGTCAATTTACAATAAGAAAAGTAAATAAAATAGAAACAAGTAAGTGGGTTAATTATTCTTTTTGAGAACCAATTTTTGTTCACCCTGCTTATATACATTGGGCATAGAAATTAAGATTTTTGTCTTACTTTGTCCAACTCAAAAAAAATGAGATCTGTAATTGAAATGATAAAAACTTATTTTAAAATAATGATAATTTAATTGTTGATCGCTCAACAATTAACAGGTAAGTCCAATTTCAATATTGATATTTGATATTTTTAGTTTTTAAATTATAAATAATAAATTACACAAAATAATGGGGAAAAAATAAAAAAATTATAAATAATAAATTATGCAAAATAATGAAGAAAAAAGACATGCACATACACACAAAGAGCTTTTTATTTTATTCTTTCAAATCACAAAGTGACACAGATGCGATCGATCACTTTATTTTTGAGTAGCATAAACATCTGCCAATTATTTGTCTCATATGGAAATTTTGGAGGGGAATGAGTTTTTTTCTATCAGTTTCAAAAACAGAGGTAAAACTGGGGCAAAAAACAGACCAAATGGTTATGTATATTTTTAGCAGAACAAAATACACTGAAGCAAAAAAATATATACCTCTTTACCTCATGTCTCAGTAATTAATTCAATGTGTTTAAATTTTTCCATAAAAGATTATCCTCTCATTTTAAAACCAGAAACCTGAGCATAAGCAAAACAATATTTATTCCATGTTTCATTCTCTGAAATAAATAACATCCAGCAACGTTTCAACTTGACACAGTGACAGTTAAAGCATCACAGACCCAGGTTCTGTAACCTTTCTGTCTTAATTTGACAACCTAATCTCCCAAGACTCGGTCTGGAACACTAGCTGATCAAAATATTTTATGAACTATTTCTGGAATTATTCAAAAGAAAATAATAAAACATATCACCCTGAGTAATTTCTCTTTTTAGAACACCAGGGTAAAATCTTGCAAAGATTCAATTAAACAGCAGTGTCCCTCTGGAGATAAATTTAGCGATGATGCTTTGACCAGGAGAATCTTTTTCTGGTGAAATATTTAAGAAGAGATACAAAGCAATAAACATTCATTTGTCCTTTTCCTCCCTAAGGTGACGATGTAAGAAGAGTTTATCTACCTTTATTCTTGATTGCAGCATAAATGTAAGGTAAGCTGCTCCTTCTGTAGACAACCCACTTGTTGTGAGGCTTTGGCCCTCATGCCGCTGTTCCTGCAAGCTTTTGCTCTAAGAAGAAATCTTCGTGCTCAGAAAAAAAATTTGTCATAAAAATGATGCATGCTTGGAAAGTGTGACTATGACTTGGCATTTTTTCCTTTAAAGTTACTCATTCCAGAAGAAAACACATCATTAAAACTTGCCCTAAATATCAGAGGTTTTATTTCAGCAAAATATTTTGGGATTCATGAATGCATCAAACTAGATAACAATTAATTTCCATCAAGAGAAGGACTATAACGTATTAGCCAAAGTGCTAGAAACCAAAAGAAGATGACTAGATAACAATCAGCAAAACTACTCACAAACAAGTTGTTTACTTTTATAAAGTTTCCAAATACAAAGTCAAACTAATTCATTTTGTTGATTCGAATGACAGTTTCTCTGACAGAGTGAAAAAAAAATCAAATATTTTTGCCTTTAAACATTTTATGTGTTGTCCAGAAGGTAACGATATATCCCTTTAGCCTTAAAACAAGATTAGATTTTTAAACCAAAAATATGACTGGGGGAATCATAAAAAGCCAGGAGAAATTTTTCATATGCACTTCGAAAAATACTGCTCTTACCTGGAATTTACCAGAATTCCTATCTTACCTTTGTCCTTGCATCAATGAAGCATTTAATCTTGTCTGAATTCCTTCAACAAGACCAATGCAAGTGATATTGACTAGCAAGAATTGTTCTTTAGGAATGTGAAACTTCGATGTCAAGTCTTAGCCATAACATGTGCTCCCATGCACAACTAGACATCTATTGCCAAGGGGAGAGAGTCTTCCTTTTGCTACAATTGTTGCCCTTTTTCCAAGTTCAGAGCAAAGACCTTTTTGAGAAAAGTAGATGAAAAATCAGGTCCAGGATAAATTGCAAATGCAGGCTGTTTTTGTAGAGTGAGCATGCCTTTCTTTAAGATAGAAATCAACTTTAGAATTAGATTAATTAAAATTTAAATTTAGAATGTAAAAATAAGAGTCAAAGAGGCTTTTTAAATTTACTTATATCCAAATTTTGCAGGATATATTGCTGGAATACGACCAAAGAGTTTAACATATTAAACTAGGTAAAATCTGAAAAATATTTTTAGTACAACTAGTTTATATTTCCCATGTATTAATGCCTCTCGTTTTCCTGCTTCCTGTCTCCTTTGCCTGATTTTCACTTCCTTTTCTCTTTTTTTCTTCTATCACTAACCTTAGCTTGGAAGAGTTTCCATGATTCAATCTTCTTCCAATTTCTTTGTTCTCTTTGGCAGGATCAAAGCTGAATAGCACTTTTTAGATTTTACAACAATTACCCCATTTGATTTTTATAGCCATCTTGTGACATAGTCCCAAAAGATATTATCTTCTATTCTACACCTATCTGAAATGATACACCTATTAAATGGCAATGTAAAATCTCACAAGGCTCTTCCAATTTTCTTCACCCTCTCCAAATAGACCTCTCTTTTTCATCAATGAGGCCCCAGCAGTTAGTATAGTCCCTAGCATATAATAGGTGCTCAGTAAATACATATTGAATAAATGAATGAATGAATGATAGCTATACTTCTATTTCTATGAGAACTTCCACTTTTCAAAGTGCTTTTATATATATGAACTCCTCTGAAAAACACGTTTCATGAATTAGATCAGCTACTTTGGTTCTCCATTTTACTGCTAAAGAAAGTGTGGCTCAGAAAAGTAAAAGAAATGCATTCATAAATAGCCAAAAGTCTTTTTTTTCAGGCCAGCTTAGTGCCTAAAAAAATTAATATAAGTAGAATTTTCAACCCCATATGAACCTGTGGGCTATTCTTCACTACAAAGTTAAGGTTATGATAAGTGCTAGTTATTTTCACTATTCTGCATAGTCTCAATAGTGTGTGTGTGCATATGTGTGTGCACAAGTGACTTTATGTATATATGTATATACACACTTAGATCTGTTTGTTACATGTGCTAAGCTATTGGGATATGGGATAAAAACCTTACATATTTTTACTTACTGATTGCCTCTAAGCAGTACATAAATTAAACCCAATTACTCATTTCCTTCTAAGTTTTAAAATACAGAATTCACAGGTCAACGCTTTCTAATAACTAAGCTGCAATAATAGCTTATTTTACTATAGAACATTGTAGAGCATGTCACTGTTCCATATTAACACTCCTTTATATGATAAGCAATCATGACCTGCAACATTGCTAACACACACAATTCACCCTTGCCTTTTGGCCCTCCAGATGGCCCATTGGTTCTGTTCAAATCGAACGCCAAGATTCCTCTTTCCTAATTGCAGGCTGCCAGCAGGAGCCGTTTGCAGCAGCTGTTGGCCCACAGTCAGTTGCAACATCCCATTGCCTGGGCCTAAGTTTCTTTATAGTCTACAGGCTCTTTGTCTGCCTACATAGCTCATAGTCATAATCAGTTCTTGATTATGCAGAAGGGAAAGAGACAATGTTAATAATTTAATATATCATCATCAAAGGAAAATTATTTGAAAGAACAAGAATTATTATACCAGGTTAAACCGGTGATCTCAGTTTTCTGGTCTCTGATAGCAGCAGCTAGACTTATGGGAGAATTTGATTATCAAGATAGAGTATTTCTTATTGCTCATTCATTCATATATTCAATGCTTTTAATAAAGAGTGTAGAATATACAAGACCTCAACCAAGTAGCTGAGGGCTGGTGGAGTTGGGGGATACTAAAAAAAAAAAGTAAAAAGGAAATGCAAGGCCAGGCACGGTGGCTCATGCCTGTAATCCCAGCACTTGGGGAGGCCAGGGCGGGCGGATCACAAGGTCAGGAGTTTGAGACCAGCCTGGCCAATATGGTGAAACCGCGTCTCTACTAAAAATACAAAAATTAGCCGGGCGTGGTGGCGCACACCTGTAGTCCCAGCTACTCGTGAGGCTGGGGCGGAAGAATCCCTTTAACCCAGGAGGCGGAGGTTGCAGTGAGCCGAGATCATGCCACTGTACTCTAGCCTGGGTAACAGAGCAAGACTCCATCTCAAAAAAAAAAAAGAAAAAAGAAATGCAAGTCACTGTCTCCACGGAACATAAATCGAGACTTCCATCTAGCTAAAAAAGACATTCTCTGTCCTTTCAGGCTCGGTGCTTCTGCACCTGCTGGCCCTGCCTGCCTGTGTTGCCTTTCACTTCGCATCATTCCTTATGCCACTCGCCATCCTCTCCTCCATCATTCCTTATGCCACTCGCCATCCTCTCCTCCTGCCTAGTGAATGCTAATTCATCCTCAAATCTGACATTCAATGTTGCCTACTGGCAACCTTTCCTAAACCCACCTGCCAACCACAGTAGCTGCCCCACTTCATTGCAACTTCCACTTTCATCTATCATATTTGATTTAAAAAAAAATTTTTAATGTTTGTGGGTACATAGTAGGTGTATAGATTTATGGGGTACATGAGATGTTTTGATACAGGCAAGCAGTGTGAAATAAGCACATCATGAAGAATGGGATATCCATCTCCTCAAGCATTTAGCCTTTGAGTTACAAATAGTCCAGTTATACTCAAGGTATTTTAAAATGTATAATTAAGTTATTATTGACTATTGTCACCCTATGTACTATCAAATAGTAGGTTCTCCATTTATTCTTTTTTTCTATTTTTTGTGCCCTATATTCAGTTTTAATTATTTTATATTTTAATTATATTTAAAATATATTTAACATAACATTGACATATTTTACATATAACATATACAGTATATGTAATACATATTTTAATCATATTTCATTCTATTTAATAAATATATTGTTGCATGTTTTAGTTATTTACTCTCCATCTCCCAGAACTTAATACCTTGCCTACTACCATTCAGGAGGTCCCCAATAAATGTTCCTGAGTAAAGAAATCAATCAGCAAATTATAAGACAAAATGAATTAAGTGCTAAGTGGTTAAAAACGCAAGTTCTGAGTCAGAATGCTGGGCTCAAATCCTTCTTTGCCACTTACTAGCTGAGTAAACTTACGTACAGAGAATAGAGTCGCCTCAAGCAACAGGAGATTTTGAGTAGGGATCCTGTGATAGATAATTTTATGTGACAACTTGGTTAGGCTATGATGCCCAGTTGTTCAGCCAAACACCAGTCTAGATATTACTGTGAAGGTATTTTTAAGATGTAATTATATTTAAATCAGTAAACTGATTAAAACAGATTACCCTGCATAATGTTATGGGCCTTATTCAATCAGTTGAAGGTATTAAGAAGAAAAACGGAGGTTTCCCAAAGAACGGATTCTTCTCAAGACAGTAACATAGAAACCCTTCCTGGGACTGAGTTTCCAGCCTGCTGCCCTGCAGAATTTGTACCCAGGACTGCAACATCAACTCTTACCTGAATTTCAAGAATCCAAGCCCTACAAATTTAAGACTTTCAACTCCCCAAAAATCATGAGTCAATTTCTTAAAATAAATACCTCTCTCAATAGATAAATACATATATAAAGATATATATAAAACACATGCTATATGTATATAATCATGATATATAACATTATACAATATATAATTATATTCTAATATAAAATTTACAAATATATAATCATACATATAATATTGATTCTGTTTCTCTAGATAACTCTGGCTAACATAGATATATACTAGGGAACCCAGGAGAAGTCAACAGTCCTGCCTTACATAGAAAACAAATGCTTGAGTCAGGCTCATGGAGACAGGACCAATCAGATACCCATTCACCTAGAACCTCAGCAGCAGGAGTGTGTGGCTTCTCATTCTAGGGCTTTGCCATCAAAGTGGCTCTGCAAATTCCTTTGAGTCTCTTTTATTTTCTTGGAGCTACAGACTGGCTCGTCATATGCCAATCTGTTTGTCCATTCTCTGCCTTGCATCTTCTGCTCACTCTTAGTTTCTGCTTCCTCAGAAAGTTTCATTTGGTCTGTTGTGACCCTCATGGCCTAAAACTACTCCATGGCTTTTCTCTGAGCAATCTTTCAGCTTCAGCTCTCGTGGCTGGCTGCTTCCCTATCATGATAATTCACAGATCACATTACCCAGAGAAGTCAGTTGGCATAGTTCATTTTGGGGGCCATATCATGGTTTAGGTCTCTGGGTAGCCTAGGAATTGGCTTCCCTTGGGACCCATCTCTGGGACAATTAAAGACGAGAGTCATAGATGCCAAGCATGGCCATCTGGGACTGTTTCTTCCTGGAAAACTGTAAAAAGCTGCCTTGGAAGAAGCTGTGAGTCCATGATGACATGTCTACAAAAGAGGAAAATGATACGGGCAGTAAAGCGAGCAGCCACGAGATGATGACCAGCATAGGAGCTCTCAGCCCACCCTTGCAAAGGGAGCAACTGGCACCACCAATGGCTGTAACAGCGACCACTTCTTACCTATACTCGGTTCTTCTCAGGAACAGGGAATATTTGAAAGTTCCATTGGTTGCAATAATGAGAGAGATTGAGTCAGATGATGGCAGTAGTCATAGAGTTCTTATGAATAATATTCACATACTAGTCAAGCATTCGTAGTATTCTGGTGAGCCCTATTATTTTATATTATTTGTACCTTATTAGATTGGGGAGCCTGAAGAAATGCTTATGCTTTTGCGGGGAGGTGGTATTTCACCAGAAGCAGTCCAAATTCTGGTGCAATGTTGTTTTACACCATAGACTAACTTCCCTTTCTGGAATTCAGCTCTTTGATAATAGGGAAAATTAAAGTAAGACTTCTAAATGATCTCAGTGGTATCAGTGTGGGCCCTTACAGATCACATCTGTTTGGGAAATATTGGGAAATACTGCTGGACTACTACGTAGCAAGGATATCACTAAGTAGGCTGATTTTACAGCATCTGGGTTGGTACCGAGATGTACCTTCCAGTACTGGAGCCACTCATTGTATGTGGCTAATTACATGTAAGTGAAATTAAATCAAATTAAGTTACAAATTTAGTTCTCAGTTGCATTAGCCACATTTCAAGTGCCCAATAGCCACATTGGGCAAACAGGCTATTATATTGAACTGTGCAGATTTAGAACATTTCCACCATCACAGAAACGTCTATTGGACGGTACTAGTATGGCACGCTCACTGTGATATTGAGGGTAAAGGAATGGGAACACAGTCTTACCAGAGCTTCCCTTACAGAATGATGAACTTAGATTTCTAGGAACATACTTGTGGAGAGAGCTGCCAGGAAAGGGATTTATAAGTCCCTCACCTCAGATACTGAATTTTTAAAGAAGCTGATCCATTTCTTAGGAAGTGAAATGAATGTGCTGGAAGATATGGCCAAAGCACCAGAGCATGAAATCACCCTGCAGTCCCAAGCCCCATCGTGTCATGAGGAAGGTGTGCCCAGATACTGGGGTACAAGTGGAGTGCATAATTCAACAGTCCCTTAGAGAAGCCATGAAAATCAGAAAATTGGTGATTTTCTAAAGAAAACCTGTACCAGTTCCTGAGAAACAGATTTTTGGTAGCTGGCTAAAACATATACTTTAGATGAAGGATGGTGAGTTTAAGGGAAGAAAACCACAGAGTTCCATAGTTTGGGCGTCCTGTGGAATGCAGCCAGGTTCTTGGGCAATACTGAGGATTCATACTCAGGTGTTGCATGCTGTGGGAAACTTAACCACTTAGGCAGCACAAAGAAAAAAGACTAGACACATTAGCATAAAGAGTGTAAGAGGACTTGGTAAGTAACGAGCTGGGAGGGCTTCCAGGCCTACTATCACCAGAGTTGACAGTTACAACAAGAACAATTACCCCAGGACTCCACCAAGGTCAGAGGGGACAAGGGGGCAACAAGGTTCCCACATTTGAGCCTCAGACTTCACATTCTTTTCTTGTTTAGTCAACAGTATTATGAGTCACATTCTTTTCCTTTATTAACTTTCTCATAATGGGAAAATAACTATCTACATTTAATAATTATAGACTCCAGGAATATTTATTTTACTCCTTTCATTGTAATCTTTATCAGTCAAGTTCTTTTAACCTATTGGATTAGAAACCAGTGGCCAATAGTAAGTAAAGCCCATAATTACATACATTCCAGTTTGCTGCCAATGGCTCCAGTTCACATTGTTGTCCAGAAGTTATGGTCAATAGTGCCCCATTTCACTCATAAAAGCCCAAGTTTGGACAATAAATAATGCAGTCACCTACTCATAATGCTATTCCCTAAGTATGTTCCAAAATGCCAAGGGCAAGATGTGTTGTTTTTCCAAGGCTGGCGGTTTTAATACCACCATCTCAGCAAGGTCAGCTTGGGTGGAAGACATGACTTCACCAGGTCAGCACTGCTCACCATTTTCAAAGCTACTCCATTTTTATGCCTTTTTTTAACCTCTCTGTACTTCTCAAATTCAATTTTAGTGCCAATTTTGTTTAGCACAGTCTTCTTCCTGTCCATTCTTCAAGATTTTTATTTTCCCTTTGGCTTTCTATTTTCTTATCTCGGTTGTCTATTTTTCTACATTTACTGTAATGTGTGCTTTCTATTTGTGGCTTCTTTCTTCCCACATTCAATTTGTCTGTCATATTTTAAATGACTATGTTTGAGTAAATGATAGCATTTCACAAGTATCCACTGGTAGAATGAGCAACATCTGATAACTAACCTTTTTATTCTACCTCATATCTATTGAACTTTAGCCTGATAGGTTAAACTTCCTAGTGCTTTCAAAAATAACTGAAAAGTAGTAGCCTGCTGATAAATAGCTATCCATCAGCCCCAGGGGAGTTAGGGCCAGGAGGGGTCCTGATTTGCAGTGTTTGCTGATTTCCATGGTATAAATACCCTCATCGTGGACAATTTTAGCCTACAACCTAACCTCAACCAGTTAGCAAAATGTGTAAAAATGGAACAGTTGTCTGTGATGTGCCCGTGTGACATAGTTCTCACAGGTCACTGCAAAACCCTTGGCAGAGATATGGAACATAAAGTCCTAAAAAGCAAATTGCGTAATAAATAATTATTCTAAGTGTGTGAATTCTGAATTATCATAAAAGAAAAATAAGCCTATATCTAACAAATAACATATAAGATTCTATGTGAAAACTAGAAAAGTCAATAGGAGCTATTTCTGGTATATAAAAGTACCAATGTGGTGAGTTAACTGGGTTCTAATTCCCCTTGCTACCCACCAAAGATCATTCCCAAATCGCAAACACATTATTATGTGAGGATAGTACTCCAGGCTCCATGACTGCCACACTAAAGCAAATCCATGGGCCAGCAAACTTCCATGAGCTGGAACTGAGCCTCCAGGCAGAAAGGAAAAAAAAAAAAAAAAAAAATCAGACACTTTCAGAGCTGTACATCAATGCACTAGCTATTGAAAATCCTTTGGCAGTCAGCAAAAGTTATAAGATTGCCTTTTCTCTGTTCTAAGAGATTGCAGAAGGCCTAAAGTTTACATTTGGGATCAGTGATTTTTTTCACAGATCTAAGCACTATTTCTATTCAAAGCCAATTTACAGCTTTGTTTAGTCCTAGTGGCTTAATATATAATAGAGAATAAAGCAGGTTAGAAGTAGGAAAAGCCCTTTGAGGCATAAATAATTTAAGCATTACTCACATCAATTCAAATGCTTTAATCAAATGTAAGAGATTCTACACAGAATTCACTAACTAGACACACCAGTAAAAGGCAAAATAAATATTTTCTAGAGAATGTTCTGTCGCAACACAGCATTACCTCCAAACTAAAAATATTTGGCCTGTGGGAAAAAGCCTAAAGGCTGAAAATTTACTGACTCCAAATTTATTAAGGTAATCATAGGTGTCTCAGTCACATATATTATTGTGGATTTAAAAAAAAAATCCTTATGCTAAAATGTGGGCAGGGCACAGTGGCTCATGCCTGTAATCCCAGCACTTTGGGAGGCTGAGGTGGGCAGATCACTTGAGGTCAGGAGTTCGAGACCAGCCTGGCCAACATGGCAAAACCCCATCTCTACTAAAAATACAAAAATTAGCCGGGCGTGGTGGCACGTGCCTGTAATCTAGCTACTCCGGAGGCTGAAGTAGGAGAATCATTTGAACCCAGGAGGCGGAGGTTGCAGTGAGCCAATATCACACCACTGCACTCCAGCCTAGGCAGCAGAGTGAGACTCCTTCTCAAACAAATAAATAAATAAAACGTGGTATATACACACTATAGAATACCATTCAGCCTTTAAAAAAAGGAGGAAATCTGCCATTTGTGACATGGATAAATTTGAAAGATATTATGTTGAGTGAAATAAGCCAGGGCAAAAAGACAAATACTGTTGGCCAGTGCAGTAGCCCACGGCTGCAATGCCAGCACTTTGGGAGGCCGAGGCAGGCAGATCATGAGGTCAAGAGACCAAGACCATCCTGGCCAACATGGTGAAACCCTGTCTGTACTAAAAATACAAAAATTATCTGGGCATGGTGGTGCGCGCCTGTAGTCCCAGCTACTAGGGAGGCTGAGACAGGAGAATTGCTTGAACCCAGGAGGCGGAGGTTGCAGTGAGCCAAGATCATGCCACTGCACTCCAGTCTGGGTAACAGAGCAAGTCTCCATCTCAACAACAACAAAAAAAGACAAATACTGTTACTGGTGGATGGTGTCCAGGTTCTTGGTGTCTTGAACAAAGAATTGGACAACATGCACAGACAAAGCAAGGAAAAAATGAAGCAACAAAAGCAGAGATTTACTGAAAATGAAAGTACATTCCACAGGGTGTGAGCTGGCTCAATCAAGCAGCTGAAGAGCGTGGTTACAGAATTTTCTGGGGTTTAAATACCCTCTAGAGGTTTCCCATTGGTTACTTGGTGTACACCTTATGTAAATAAAGTAGTTGCCCAAGATCAGTCTGATTGTGGAGGGGACCAGTGAGAGGCTGACATGAAGTTACAAGTTATACCCTATGCAAATGTCTGATTGGTTGTGGGAAGTGACCAATCAGAGACTGTAGTTACAAATGAAGACTTGGCCCACCAGCAGCCTGATTCATACTCCAATGCAAATGAAGACTTGGCCCAAGACCAGTCTGATTGATTGCAGGAGGGGACCAATCAGAGGTATTTTCAGTTTTTCATTTGCCACACAGAAAAGGCAGGGTGTTGCAAAGGGAGTCACCTCTGATCCTTTTGTTACTTGGGTGTGGAAAGTTGGGGTTTTCCTTTTGATTTGGTTCTAGGAAGTCAGCATGAATTGGCCTTAAGTTCCTTGCCTCCAGACTTTATTCTCCTGCCCCAATACCACATGATCTTACTTGTATGTGAGATCTAAAAACATTAAACTCACAGAAGTAGAGAGTAGAATGGCAGTTATTGGGGTGTAAAGGGGACAGGGGTTAAGGAGATGTTTGTCAAAGGATACAAAATTTCCATTAGATGGAAGGAGAAAGTTCAAGAGATCTATTGCACAACATGGTGACTGCAGTTAATGATGACATATTATATACTTGAAAATCACCAAGAAAGTAGATTTTCAGTGTTCTCACCACAAAATATAAGAGGTAATGCATATAATAAGTAGCTCGATTTAGCCATTTCATATATATATATATATATATATATATATATATATATATATGTATTTCAAAACCTCATGATGTGCATGATAAATATATATAATTTTGACTTGCCAATTTAAAAATTAATTAATTAATTTTTGTTTTTTGAGACAAGCTCCTGCTCTGTCGCCCAGACTGGAGTACAGTGGCACGATCTCAGCTCACTGCAACCTCCGCCTCCCGGGTTCAAGAGATTCTCGTGCCTCAGCCTTCCGAGTAGCTGGGATTACGGGCGCATGCCACCACACCCAGCTAATTTTTGTATTTTTAGTAGAGACAGGGTTTCACCATGTTGGCCAGGCTGGTCACGAACTCCTGACCTGAAGTGATCTGCCTGCCTCGGCCTCTCAAAGTGCTGGGATTACAGGCATGAGCCACCACACCCGACCAAAAATCAATTTTTAGAAGTAAAAACCCTTATCCTAAACATCACAGAAATTAGATTAAAAATAAAATAGGCCAGGCGCAGTGGCTCACGCCTTTTCCTTCCACATCTTTCCATTTTGTTGTACTTTTTATGATAATTATTTTATGATAACCATTTGTAGCATGAGAAAAGTTATTTTAAATTCAACAAAAATATTGACTCACTCATATGTCTATAAGTAAACACTATATAGTTCTCATGAAGGAAATGTTGGAACTAAAAAGGGTCAAAGAAAAGTAACGGGAAAGGTCAGAAAAATGGGTAATAAGTTAGTACTATCATATATGGGAGTTATTTTTAAATTTCTGAAACACACAGACAGGGAATGCCACAACTGATGCAGGCCCAGCTGGAGCTAAATGGATAGAGCTCCTGACTGGGACAGGGCAGAGGCCCAGGCCAGCTCCATCATCTCTGATCTCCCTCTCAGCCAAAACCTTTCAGAGTCATCTTCCCTTCCTACCTCCATTCCTGCCTCCCCATTTACTCTTTAACTCACCATAAACTTGCCTGTTCCCCTTAATTTCCTCCCCCAGCTCCACAAAAAAATGCCTTTGCCGCTGCCATCAATGTTGTCTCTGTTGTCAAATGCAGTAGTCATACTCAACCCTTGTCTTATATGAATGACCCCCCAGCCACAATTAACTCCTTGCACATCTCTTTCCCTGAATCCTGTGACACGCCCAGTGACAGATAAACTATCAATTGTCTACCCAGCAGGGGTTACCCCATGCACACATGCATGGCACCTTGCCAACACAGTGCCAGTTGTGTTTGGAGGAAGTAGGCTTCTCCCCTAGCTCCAAGAGATGAACCATGTTGGCTCAAACCAATCCTCATGTAATCTCATTCCTCATGGCTGTAATGGGTGCAGGAGTTGGTACATACAGCCCAGCTTTGGCCAATGAGATCTGAGGATAAATTCCTCCCAATGCTCAATTCATGCTCTTGAACTCAGTTTTTGATGTTTGGCTCTGTGACAGCTTTTTCTGGGGGGGAGGGGAGGTGGGGGATGACCATGAGAGGAAAGCCAGGATAATGAACAGCTAACAGAGCACTGATGTGAAAGAAATGCTGAATTAACCCTGGAATCACTTACGCCTGGATTTCCTGTATGTGAGACAGTAAGTCCTTATTGACTAAGCCACTCTTAGGGGTTCAGCTCCTTGCAGCCAAAGGTATCTTAGTTGATACTGACATGTTCTCCCTTCTCAGCTTCCATTCTCACCCACCTGTTCTTCAGGCCCCTACCTGATCTCTATACCCTTTGCATATTAGTAGTCTGGAGTTTCACCCTTGGCTTTCTTCTTTTATTATTCTATTCACTTTCTCTTTGTGCTTTCTCTCTTCCACTTGGATGATTTCAACTATACATATTTGTTTATAGGTATATATAAATATTTATTAAGGACCTACTATGAGCCAGATCCTGTTCCATGTTCTATATTCTGTGGATATACTGATAAATAAGACCACTGTTTCCCTGGACAAAAGAACATATGTATATGTATATGTATATGTATATGTATATGTATATGTATGTGTATATGTATATGTATGTGTGTGCATGTGTATATATATGTAAATACTCATATGCACATATATGTGTGTATAGATATGTAAATACTCATATGCACATGTGTGTGTATATATATATACGCATATAGATATGCATATATATAAAGGGGAGGAGGAAAGGGAAGGGGTTGAGGTTGAAGAATTTTTCATATTTTTAGTTATTCAAATGTTATTTTGCCTCCTTTTCTATAGGAATGTCTTTTGCTTATTGATTTAGAAGAGTTTTTTATTTTGTACTCTATTCCTCTTTTCCTCTTTTTCTATTCTCTAAGTGTGTACAGTATTGGACATTCGTTTCTTAAAGATTTTGTAAAACTTCTGGTAAAGTTATCTAAGCACATAGTGTTCACTATGTAACACTATAAAAGTCTTTTTATTTCACCTTGGGTCAGTTTGCGGGAGCTATACTTTTCTAGGATTTCATCTATATTTTCAAATTTATTAACTTAAAATTTTTCTGAAATATATAAATTGAAGACTAAAAATTTCCCTCTGCATACAGCTTTGGTTACACTTTCTATATGTAGTGTCTTTATTTGGATGTTGTTCTAAGTACCTTCTTATTTCTGCTACAATTTTTTCTTTGATCATGAGTTATTTAGAAATTTTTCTTAATTTTCACATACATTAATTTTTTCCAGTTATCTTTTTGTTCGTGATTTCTAACTTAACTGTATTTGTTGTCATAAAATATGCTCTGTATTATTTTAATCTTTAAATGTGTTTTGACTTCCATTATGGCCCAAGTTATATCAATTTGTATAACTAACCCAATTGTTCTTAAAAAGAAATACATTCTCCAGTTCTTGAATGATCATTACAGCAAATTTGTTAATATGTTTTTCAAATTGTCTCTCTTAGATTTTGCTGTTAGTTACTAAGAGAGACGTGTTCAAATTTCTCATGATGATTGTTGACTTGTTTATTTCTCTCCCTAGTTGTCATTTTGCTTTGTATATTTTGAAGCTGTATTATTAGGTGCATCCAAATCTAAAAGTATTACATGGCTCTAGAGAATTGAACATGTTATCCTTATCCCTAAAAATGATTTTTTGCTTTAAATTTTATTTTTTAATGAATTAATATAGGTATACTAGCTTTCTTTTTGGGGGAATTTGCCCGATTTGTCTTTTTTTATCCTTTTAGTTCCAATCTTTCTTTATCATCTCCAGTGCTTTTTAAATGATTCCATAATACTGTTACCACTGTAATGCTCTAATTATAGTTTTAGCTTCCAAAATAAGATTATTCACTCCTCAAATGAAACAAAAAACAGAACTGGCATTTCTGAAATTATGGTGTGTGGTTTTGAATATGATTGGTTTGCTATGGTAAACCCTGTTTTTCGTCTAAAAACCAGTTCTTGTTTTTCCTGAGCTCATGGGTCCTGCTGGAAAAACCTATCCGTGTGGGTGGATGGCAGGGCAGAAAGAGGGAAGATGTGGCCAGGAGAGGTGGTGGTGGGTAAGCAATGCTAAGTGTAGGTCGTGTTTGGCAAATCCTGATGCCTACAAGGGCCAAACAGGTAATTTAAGCAATTATGTGAGACGAGAGAGAACTGGTGATTACTTGTCCTTCTAAAGGCAGTTATTTGTCATCAGTTGTTACCCTGTTGAGACGTTGCAGATCTTTTTCAAGATAAACCTGAATCTAGACCTGGATGGGAAATCTACTGAATTTGAAAAATTGGCAGCTAATTCATTTATTTAAATATACGATATCTGTTCCCTACATTTGCAAATTCTGGCCTCCACCTACAAATTCTGGCAAGGATCACACTTAAAGAAGGAGAAAAGTTGGAAAAGGTCTTTCCCCATTCCGGCTTACCCTATAATGGGCTTACTCACTCCTCTTTGTACAGGGAAATTCCTCCTGAGAAACATAAGCCTAAGGCATTTCTTAGCTCTTGGGAAATGGGTTTTTGGGATAACTTGGTCTGGTCAACTGCACAAACATCATGTTGTATTGCTTCTCTGGAGGCAAAAATGGAAAATGGTAGGAAGTAAGAATAGGTGCTTAAAAATGAAGAGTTACCAAAACAACCAAATTGTAGCAATGAAAACAAAATACAAAAGTTTGTCTGGGGTGCCTGTTGACAGCACTATGCCAACATCCAAATTTGTACTAATCTCTCTAACCTCAGCCCAAGTTAGTCCAGTCTGGAAACTAACTCATCCACCTTTCTCTATGCAGTTCATGAGAAAAAAAAATATGGAAAAAAAGAAGAAAGGAAAAGAAAATATGCCCCAAAATATATGATATGTACCTGCAGGCATATGCACATACCAAGTCCTTAATTCTTCTGCTCTTTCGTTTTCTGATGGAGTTTCACTGTTTCTCAGGCTGGAGTGCAGTGGCACAATCATAGCTCACTGCAGGCTTGAACTCTTGGACTCAGGCAATCCTCCAGCCTCAGTCTTCCAAGTAGCTGGGACTATAGGCAGGTGTTACCATGCCTGGCTAATTTTTTTTTTTGGTAGAGATGGGGTCCTGCTTTGTTGCCCAGGCTGATCTCAAACTCCTGGCCTCAGGGGAACCTCCCACCTTAGCCTTCCAAAGTGCTGAGACTACAGGCATGAGCCACCATGCCCAGCCTGGTTATTATTTTACAATAATAAAATATTTGTGTAATATCTCCAAGGAATCTTTAGAATATACACTGCCACCAAGAGAAGGTGATTCAATGACTGGCTGAACAAAAAGGTGTTCTTTAGAAAGAAAAAAAAGGATTGATCTCTTACCACTTACAAATCACTTTTAGTAACATTTATATATGCTATTTTATGTAGTGTTCAAAAAAAAAAAAAACTATGAGGTCCTTCCATTTTATAGTAAGAAAACTGAAGCACAAAGAAGATAAATGACTCACCAAGGTCATAGATTTAATAAGGGTTAGTGCCAGGATTGAAAACTAGGTCTCCTGTGTCGAAATCCTGCATTTTCCACTCTATCACACCTTCTCTGGCTGACAATCCAATGAGAATCTCAGCTCCAGCAGCCTGGTTCTTAGATAGCCAGGACTTCTGACAAAGTGTGAGAGCTGGGAAGTGCCAGTGTCAAGAACTCAAAACAGTAGGAAGTCAGAAGTGAGCAGCAGGACTCACAGCATGGAGCAAAGGCATGGCCTCTGGAGGGTTGCAAGGAAATACTTACATGTGATTTCTAAAAAACCAAAATTGTTATTTCTCACCTTCCCTACAATCGATTCCGCCTGTCCTTCCCTCCAGATAGAGACCAGGTATCCACATTACTTCTCTGAACACCAATTTCATTTTACTCTAAATTCAAAGAAACTAAATTTCTATTTCCCATCTTTCATTTCCTTTTCCACAACCCAATCAATCATTTCATTATTTTAGCTTAGCAAATTTCAACTTTATCTAAGATCATTTCACTATCTACCTTCTGATATTTTTAGTATATTAAGTAGGTAAGTTAATATGTATTGCCTCAGTTAAAGAAAATATACTCAGCTGGAGTATGTTTTCATCGTAGTTTCATCTGCTTTCATCGTAGTTTCAATTAATAAAATTGTTTTTACTCATATTTTAAAATACTGATCATATAAAGCATATATGTCTACCATGCTATTCTGGCACATTTTTTGACTGGTTATAGGATAATTGCATTGAAGTAGTTGTACAAAAAAAATTGAGGTTTTTTTCTTAGGTAAAATAAACAAATGAACAACAGAGTGTGTTGTTAGATGATTTTCATTTTCTTCAACATGCACAATATAAAATTTCTCAGGTAACTGTGATAGAAGAGATTTCACTGGAAAATAAAATCCATAATTCATTAGTCATCTCTCTGGTTAGTTCTCAGATTGTCCCTTCAGAGGATCCTATAATTATTTTCATCATTTCCACTATCAAAGTTTTATTTTACACATAAAAATTATACATGTATAACCCATCTCTCAACATAATGAGAGGTTTGGGGGATCCGTTCTGAAGTGAGAAGCTTCTCTCTCAATTTGATCTCAGGCCCACCTTGCTCACAACTGCTTTGTATCTCTGAAACTCCATAAGGGCTTTAATTAAATATTTTATATCAAAGACATTGTCATATTTTCTTCAATCAGTACCTACTGCAGTGCCTTAGAATGAATTATGGAAGGAAGGGAGAGACCACGTGAAAACTGTAAAGTACTAGGTACTTCCCACAAACAAAATTAAGCATTCAGTGTACATTTACAAATGACTCAAACCTGTTGATATGGTTTGGACCAGTGTCTCCAGCAAATCTCACGTCAAATTGTAATCCCCAGTGTTGAGGTGGGAGGTGACTGGATCATGGGGGCAGACTTCTCAGGATGGGTTTAGCGCCATTCCCATTGGTACTGTCTTCACAATCATGAATGAGTTCTCATGAGATCTGGTTCTTTTTTTTTTTTTTTTTTTTTTTTTGAGACAGAGTCTTGCTCTGTTGCCCGGGCTGGAGGACAGTCATGCAATATCTTGGTGCACTGCAACCTCCATCTCCCAGGTTTAAGCAATTCTCCTGCCTCAGCCTCCTGAGTAGCTGGGATTACAGATGCGTGTCATCACACCTGGATAATTTTTTGTATTTTTAGTAGAGACGGGGTTTCACCATGTTGGCCAGGCTGGTCTCAAACTCCTGGCCTCAAGTGATCCGCCCACCTCAGCCTCCCAGATCTGGTTCTTTAAAATTGTGTGGCACCACCTCCCTCCTCTCTCTCTTGCTCCTCCAACCACATGATGTGCCTGCTCCCCCTTCGCTTTCTGACATGATTGGAAGCTTCCTGAAGCCTCCCCAAAGCAGAAGCTGCTATGCTTCCTGTCAAGCCTGCAGAACCATGAGCCAGTGAAACCTCTTTTCTTCATAAATTACCCAGTTCAGGTATTGCTTCATAGCAATACAAGAACGGACTAATATACCTATCTTTGAAGAGAGTTCTCCCATGGTTTTTGGGAAAATAGAATCATTTACATTTAACTGAGAATTTACTTAATAATTTTTGTTATGAAGTTGTAAGTCTTCAAAAAATATTTGCTTATTGATATCTTGTAGCAAACACATAGCCACATACAGCATGTATTGAAATTCTTTGCAAAAGAAAACCATTTCAGTTTTTCCAACTTGATTATAAAGTTCTGACTGTACCCTATAAGAAGCAGTTACAATGAGGGGTCAATTACTATAAAAAGAATTATATTTCTCTGGTTTTTAATATAAAAATTCATGAAGTACTTTTATGAAGAATATTTTTCAAATTTCTAGCAGTTTGTTTCATCCATATTTCCAGGACCTTTGGCTGAAATTAAAATCCATTAGCTTTTCTGAAACATTTCACTGGGTACCACAACTGGTGTAAAAATAGGCTCCCCTCAAAGCCCACATTATCCTCAGTGACATTTATATTACAGTGTCATATAACTCACAAGCTAGCCCCAGTGAATCATGGCCAAATAACAGCAGAGGAAGTAAAGGTGAAGCCTGACAGCATTCTGCTATTGACTAAAGAGGATAAGGACACTCTGACTGTATTTTCCCCACTTTAGCCCAGAATTACAATATTCTGTAACTCATACCAGTAGCCACTCTAAAGAGTGTAATTTCAATTCTAAGGTACCTTACTGAACACTATTTTATGCTGATAAGATACAGTGCCTCTATCTGTCTCACAGAAATTGGAAAGGGGAGTAAAACAGTGAAATGAGAAATGTTTAAAACATAGCAGAGAATATTCTCTCTCCTTCTTGGAATATTGAGTCTTCTAAATTATTTATTTATATGTTTTGTCCCATATCTGTAAACCACTTAAGCAGATCCAATGAACCTACACATTTTATGTACTCTACTAGTCATCAGTTGCCCAAACAGAAAATACTCAGTAGAATAAATTGATCACAAATGAGATACCAAATGAAAAATATCAAGTAAATTAATAATTCATTTCCAGGAGTAAAAAAAAAAAAAATACAGTGCCATTAAGATACTAGAATCATGAATCTATAAATAAACTACCTGTCCAAGAATGACAGGGTAAACTCTCCAAGACTATATTCATTTCCTATGACTGTTGAAACAAATTGCCACAGAATTGGTGGCTTAAAACAACAGAAATATATTCTCTCACAGTCCAGAGGGTGACCCAGATGTCCAAAATCAGTTTTACTAGGCTGAAATTAAGGTGTTGGCAGGGTCACCCTCCCTCTAGGGAAAAATGCATTCTTGCCTCTTACAGTTTCTGGTGGCTGCAGCGTTCTTTGGCTTACAGCCGTATCATTGCAATCTCTGCCTCTGTGTTCACGTGGCCTCCTCCTGGTCTGTCTGTGTTCAAATCTCCCTCTGCCTCTCCTTTGTAAGGACACTTCCAATGGCACTTAGGGCCCACAAGGATACCCAGAATAATCTCCCTATATCAAAATCCTTAACATCTGCAAAGCCACTTTATTCATGATTACCGGTTCCAGGAATTAGGATGTAGATACCTTTGGGGAAAAAGGTATCATTTTTCAGCCTGCTACACAGAGCAAGACCACAGTTAAAGCATTTAAACGGAAGCAAAGAAAATGGTGAAAAGAAACCTGAGTTATGCACAAGCCTCACACAATGCCCTTCTCGTGTCATGGCTGTGTAATGTCAGCTGTTTGGAAACCCATGCTCAGGGTCTCAATCACAATGATTTTTAGGTCAATGGATTATCTGCCTTCAAGGCGATTACTGACCGATTAAGAAATTGATTCCCCTATTGTATATCTAACAAGAAAGATATTTCTAATGTGAGGGGGCAATATTTTCACTTGACGGTGAAGTAGGACAGAACACGTTCTCTGATTATTCTGTAAGACTTTTTATAAAAGCATTTCAGCTCAAAAGTTGCCTAGACACCTATGTTTTGTAAAAATCGTCCACATGATAGCGTCGCTGACACAGATAGTTACAAATAGGAAGGCAGACTTTATTTCAAAAAGTCAGACCACTTTGTACTCATTAACCAATCTCTCCTTACCCACCCCTCCACCCTCCCCTTCCCAGCCTCTGGTAACCACCATTCTCTTCTCTACTTCTACGAGTTCAGCTTCTTTAGATTCCATGTGTAAGTGAAATCATGCAGTATTTGCCTTTCTGTAACTGGCTTATTTTACTAAACACAATGTTCTCCAAGTTCTCTCATTTTGCCACAAATGACAGGATTTCCTTCTTTTTTAATGGATTTTATGGATTTCCTTCCTTTTTCCATTGTGTATATACACATTTTCTTTATCCATTCATCTGCTGATGGGCACTTAGAATGATTACATATCTTGTCTACAGTGAATAAAGCTGCAATAAACATGGGGGTGCAGATATTTCCTGGAGATACTGATTTTATTTCCTGAAGATATATATTCAGGAGTGAGATTTCTGTGTCATACAATAGTTCTATATAATAGTTCTAATGAATGCATGTTTCAAAACATCACATTGTACTCCATAAATATGTACCATTGTTAATTTGAGGAACCTCTATACTATTTTCCATAATGGCTATACTCATTTACATTCCCACCAACAGTGTACAAGGGTTTCCTCTTCCCCACACCTTTGCCAATACTTACCTCTTGTCTTTTTCAGAATAGCCGTCCTAACGTGAGGTGATATCTCACAGTGGTGTTGATTTGCATTTCCCTGATGATTAATTATGTTGAGCATTTTTCATATACCCACTGTCCATTTTATGTTTTCTTTTGAGAAATATCTATTTAGGTCTTTTGCCATTTTTAATCAGATTATTTGAGTTTTTGCTACTGAGTTGAGTTCCTCCCACATTTTTTATATTAACCCCTTATCAGATATATGGTTTGCAAATACTTTCCCCCATTTTGTAGGCTGTCTCCTCACTCCGTTGTTTGTTTCCTTTGCCGTGACATCAATTTAATTTGATGTCATCTCATTTGTCTATTTTTACTTAGGTTGCCTGTGCTTTTGAGGTCTTATCCAAAAAAAATCTTTGTCCACAACCATATCATGAAGTATTTTCTCTATGTTTTCTTCTAGAAGTTTTACAGTTTCAGGTCTTTAAACCATTTTGAGTTGATTTTGTATATGGTGAGAGACAGAAGTCTGGCTTCATTTTTCTGGATGTAGATATCTTGTTTTCCCAGGACCATTTATTGAAGAGACTGTCCTTTCTCCATGGTGTGTTCTTGACACTTTTGCCAAAAATCAGTTCAGTAAAAGTGTATGGATTTATTTCTGGCTTCTCTATTCTGTTCCACTTGTCTATGTGTCTGTTTTCATACCAGTCTCATGCTGTGTTGGTCACTATAGCTTTGTATTATTTTGAAGTCAGGTAGTGTGATGCCTCCAACTTTGTTCTTTTTGCTCAAGATTGCTTTGGCTATTTGGAGTCTTTCGTAGTTCCATATGAATTTTAGGATTGTTTTTCTATTTCTTTGAGATATCTTTGGTATCTTGATAGGGATTGCATTGAAACTGTAGATTGCTTGGGATAATGTGGACATTTTAATATTAATTCGGAGGTTCATCAATGGGTACAAAGTTACCAGTAGGAGGAATAACTTCTGGTGTCCTATTGCACAGTAGAGTGACTGTGATTAACAATATTATATTTTAGATTTCAAAATAGCTAGAAGAAAGGATTTTGAATGTTCTCGCCACAAAGAAATGATAAATGTGATGTGACAGACATGCTAATACTCCAATTTGATTATAGATTATTATACAATGTATGCATATATCAAAACATCACAGTGTACCCCACAAACATGTACCATTATTATGTGCCAGTTAAAAATTTTAAAATGTTAGGAAGATATTTCAAAGAGGACAGCCATCCCATGATGCCACAAAATGTTTTTTTGTGCCACAGTCAAAAAGACAACACCAAGTTGGATAGATCACTGATCTCAAGAAGTTAAACATATGTATTTCCATATGAGGAAGTCACATATTCTCTATGCAAGTGTAAAAAAAGAATGAGAAAGCTTTTTATGCTCTAATATGAACAAATCTCCCAAATATATTCTTCAATGAAAAAAACTTGGATACAGAACAATGTACACATTATGCTTCCACTTGTGTAAAAATAATGTGGGGGGAAATATATATTCATATTTGCTTCAATGTTCATAAAATCTGTAAATGCAACCTACATAAGAAACTAAATACGATGGTTAGTCATTGGGGAAAAGGAGTGGGAAATGGATGAACAGGAGACCAGGCTGGAGGGAGATTTTCAGTGTATACCTTTATATACTTTTAAATTTATGATCTGTGCAAATGTATTACCTAATCAAAAAACTTAAATTTATTAGTTAAAACATTTTTAAGGTCAAAAAAAATAAAATAAAATTTTTCTGAAAAAAAAAAAAAAGTCAGGTGAGGCTCTAGGAAAAATATCTGGCCAGATCCTGGGCTCCTGATGCTCAGATTTCAGCTGCTAACATATGTAAATGATCCCATCCAGGGGCCCAGCTGTTGTACACTGAAATGTGCTGATGAAACTAAATTGGGATTCTAGAGAACACAAATCAAATTGTAAGCAAAATTACTGAAATATACCAGCCCTCCTTTGAAGCATTATAGGCCAACCCAAGAGAAATGACTAATGGATAATAATACACAGTCCTGACAGGAATCATAAGCTAGGAAGGAAGTTGCATGTAAAATAATAATAAAGAATATTAAATTGCCACTAGGCCCTGCCAGAGACAAATGAAATCAGAACAGATTCTCACCACCAGTCACTTACTCAGTCCCTTTAAATATGTCCCAGACAAAGAATGCTTTTGCTCATATTCCCTTTCTACTAGAAAGGAAGGTTTTCTTAGATCTGGAAAAGGCAAAAAAGAGATGCCCCACCAAAAAGAAGGCCATCAGGGGCACTATACTGCCCAGCCCATTGTCTTTCCTTGGGCAACAGGCTGCCTTTACCAGCTACCTGTAGAGAAAAGTGTGCACTTTCCAGCCAGGTGGCTCACACCTGTAATCCCAGCACTTTGGGAGGCCAAGGCAGGCGAGTCACGAGGTCAAGAGATCAAGACCATCCTGGCTAACATGGTGAAACCCCGTCTCTACTAAAAATACAAAAAAAAATTAACCAGGCATGGTGGCACGCGCCTGTAGTCCCAGCTACTTGGAAGGCTGAGGCAGGAGAATTGCTTGAACCCAGGAGGCGGAGGTTGCAGTGAGCCGAGATCACACCACTGCACTCCAGCCTGGTGACAGAGCAAGACTCCATCTCAAAAAAAAAAAAAAGAAAGAAAGAAAATTATGATGCACTTTCCTTGAGATATCTGTACATATATATACACATATATGCACGTGCAAAATAGGACATTGTTTTTAAGTGTCTATGTAATTTATTCCTAATTTTTCATTATAAGCTAGCACCTCAGCACTTTAATTTGGGGACTCCCTGGAAGTTTGCATCTAAACCTCAGTCATTCATCATTAATAAGAAGTGAGCCCCTGCCTGCCTAGTTCTGTTTATCATCAGGATGTACGCCTTGAAGGCCCTCCGCAAAGCCACCCAGCATGTGCACCTCCCAGCCTCTGCCCACACACATCCCTGTAAAGGACAGGTAGCAAAACACCAGGGCAGAGGACAAGCAGTCCCTAATCTTAGATGGTAGCATATTTCAGAGTGTACAGTTCAAGTCACCCTGTGTCCTTCTCCTAGACTTTATTGTCCTAAGACAGCAGTTCTCAACCCTAGCTGCACATTGGAAACATCTGGGAGATGTCTTTCAACATTTGAGAAATGTCTATAAACATATTTGAAGTCTAGAAACTGCCCCCAAACACTTGGATTTCATTGGTCTGAGATGGGGCCCAGGCATCAGTATTTGTTTTTAATTCTCAAAGTTACTCTCATATGCACTCAGCTTTGAGAACCAGAGTACTATCTGCTAACTTTTGTTGCATTTTAACTCCCATGACTGTTCAGACTTTCTTTCAAGTTCATCTACCCAGGCCTACCCTATTTCATCTATCTAACGTCTCTTCTGCTTTATTTTGCTGCCTGAAGCTATGGTATTGTCTTGCTCGTCTCCAGACTTAACACAATGCCTGTCAAGAATTTCTGTTCAACTCTATTCCACGTCCTGGCTTCCCTGGCTATCCTCAATGGGACACTGACCAAGATTACAAAAATACCCCTGAAGAGTCTGCCCACCCACCTGCCATTCCCCTCCTTCACTTAAACCCGTCTCAAATACGGCAATTTATGTAGTCTTTTTTTGTGCAATGCAGTAACATTCAACACCTTGGTCCTCATTTGGGCCAAATCCCTTACAATGGCTATTTCTTTGCTCACCTATACATCCTCCTTTCTATCATAGGGCTTCATCACTTCAGAACTGTCACCCTTTAGGGCCAAATAATTGTGGAGGCTGTGCTATTCATTAATATGATATTTAGCAGCATCCTGGTCTCTGCTCACTAGATGCCAGAAGCACGCTTCTCCCAAGTTATGACAACCAAAAATATCTCCAGACATTGCCAAATATTCCCTGGGGAGGGGGAAGAAGTTTCCAACCCTAACCATTTGAGAAGCACTGCTCTATCTCTATGGCTAGTCTCCCAAACTACTTCAAAGGGGTCGTCTCCTCAGCCACCTGGTATATATATTCTCCCCAGTTTAAATTTTTACCCAAGTTTACGATTGATTACTCTAGACCATCTTCCTCCCCCTGAGTTGGCAACCGCCACCTTGGAGTCAACTTCCCAAAAGAAGCCAACACCAAAACAGCCGAGACAGACCCTCATGCCTGCAGGCTGGTGCGGATGAGCCTTAGGGGGATTCTACAGAACTTATCACATGTATGGCTTCAAGCCATACAGAATCTATTTATTCTGAAATCTCCTAAAATCATGACTGTGATTTTTCCATTGTATACCTTTGCAGCCCATAAAGACTTTTCTTATGCTTTAAACCCTCTAAACATTAAATTAATTTATATAACAGTGACAGTGTTTAGAGACAGAGTCTCACTCTGTCGCCCAGACTAGAGTGCAGTGGTATGATCTTGGCTCACTGCAACCTCCGCCTCCTGGTTCAAGCGATTTTCATGCCTCAGCCTCCCGAGTAGCTGGGATCACAGTTGTGAGCCACCATGCCTGGCTAATACTAGAACCTTTCTTAACATTAGAAATGCAAACTTGGTTCCTGACTCTAAATATTAATTCTTTCATTCCTTCCTCTGACTTGTGGGATGGGGATTATAATGTTCTGGCAAAGCCCTTTGAAATTCCAAATTAGGTGGAAATTCATTTCAATTCAATTTGAGCACCAACTCTTAATTATTTGAGCTAATGGAGAAGGACAAAGCACCAAAAATAGAAAATCACATAATACAAATGTAAGCACATACTGATACATACAGATCATCTCAAATTTTCAGAAATTAAAAGGTTACCGAAAGTTAGTAGACTGATTTTATTGTGTGATTCATAACTTTTCCAAATAAAGAATTGCTAATATGTTTGAGCATTATGTTACTGGCATAGCATGACCAAAGGAATGACTTTCCATAGTTCCTCATTATATCTGGAGGTGATTTCAATGTTAACATTTTCTTGGCAAGTTTACGCAAGAATTTTTATTCTCTTTGTAATGTTCTACGTTTTCATGCTATTGTCATTAAGTCCATATTGTTTTTTATTGTGGTAAAATATACATACCATAAAATTTGCCATTCCTAGCAGTATTAAGTGTACAGTTTTATAGCATCATGCACATTCATATTGTTGTGCAACCATCACCACCACACATCTTCAGAGCTTTTATATCTTCCCCAACATCAACATTTTTAACAGATAGCCTCTCCCTTCTATTGACTAATAATCTGCCAAGCATTATTTTAAATTGATTTCCTGTAGCTCTTATTGAAATAAATGTAGTCTCCCAAAAGGATTGTTTTGAAGAATGGCATTTACAAATAGTATTAATAGACATTTTATGAAAGAAGATATGCAGGTGGCAAATAAACATATGAAAAATGCTCACCATTAATAATAGAATAGAAAGTCCAGAAATACATCCACACATTCACAGCCAACCGATTTTTGACAAAGGTACCAAGTATCTTTGAAGAAAGAATACTGTCTTCAATAAATGTGTTGAGGAAACCAGATACTCACATGCAGAAAAATGGGATTAGGTCCTTATCCCACACCATATACAGAAAGCAACTCAAAATGGATTAAAGACAAATTTAAGACCTGAAACTGTAAAACTTCTAGAAGCATAAGGAAAACACTTTGTGACATGGGTATGGACAAAGATTTTTTGGATAAGACCTCAACACACAGGAAACTTAAGCAAAAATAGACAAATGGAATTACATCAAAATAAACAGCTTCTGCACAGTAAAGGAAACAACCAACAGATTCAAGAGACAACCTACAGAGTGGAAGAAAATATTCACAAGCTATACATCTGAGAAAGGGTTAATATACAAATTATATGAGGAACTCAATAGCAAGAAACCAAATGATTTTAAAATGAGTAAAAGACCAAAATAGACATCAACATTTCTCAAAAGAAGACATAAAAATGGCCAATGGGTATATCAGAAAATGCTCAGCATCTCTAATCATTAGGGAAATGCAAATCAAAACCACAGTGAGATATCACCTCACACATTAGGATGCCTATTAGGAAAAAGACAAGAGATAAGTATTGGCAAAGGTGTGGGGAAGAGGAAACCCTTGTACACTGTTGGTGGGAATGTAAATGAGTATAGCCATTATGGAAAACAGTATGGAGGTTTCTCAGAAAATTAAAAATAGAAGTACCATATGACCCAGGAATCTGGCTCCGGGGTATATATCCACAGGAAATGAAGTCAGTATCTCAAAGAGATATCTACACTCCCGTGTTTACTGCAGCTGTATTCACAACAGTCAAGACAGGGAATCACCCTAAGTGTTCATCAACAGATGAGTGGATAAAGAAAATGTGGTGTATATACACTATGCAGTACTATTTAGCCATAAAAAGAGAAGTAAATCCTGTTATTTGCAACAACATGGATGAATCTAGAGGACATTATGTTTAGTGAGATAATCCAGGCACAGAAAGGCAAATGCCACATGATGTCATTTATTTGTGGAATCTGAAAAGGCTGAACTAGTGGAAGTAGAGAGCAGAATGGTGGTTCCCAGGGCCTGGAGCAGTGGGGGATGGGGAGGGGTCGGTGGGTAGAAGACGTTTGTCAAAGGAGACAAAATTTCAGTTAAGTTCAAGAGATCTATTGTACAACATGGTGACTACAGTTAATAATAATGTGTTGTATTCTTTAAAATACATGAATACTCTAAGGGAATATTCATGCTGTGGACAAGAAATTTTAAAAAATAATGGTAAGAGCGTAGATTTTAAGTATTCTCAGCATAAAAATGGTAACTACAAGGTAATGCACATTAAATAGCTCAATTTAGCCATTTCACAACATACATATTGTAAAATATCATCTCGTAGAAGATAAATATATACAACTTTGTATGTCAATTTACAATGAAATGAAACACAAAAAATAAAAACGTTTTTGTCATTTCATAGTTATGCTTCATACATTCCCACTACTCAATGCCTCAGTAACTCCATTCTTCCTCTATTTCTTTTTCAACAGACAAAGGAACTTATGTTGAAAGAGGAATCTGGTTGTCTCAAAGAGTACATGGAGAGAATATAAGGTTGTTGACTAGACTGGGATGTTTTTGTATCTGCAAAATTGGAAAATTTATTTTAACAAATATCTCATTTTGTTTAAAAACATACCATATAAATTGGCTAAGTGATATTAAAACAAAAGCATACTAATCATTTTTTAAAGCTGTTAGCTTTTAGACTAAACCATTTTTTGGTTTAATAGATACAAAATATTAACTACTAAGACAGAATTTCCATAAAGTTGTACTAATAAGGTTAGTTCCCATAGTCTTAGCTTTATTAATAAACTCGATTTTAGCTGTCCACAGCCCATAAGGACTACGGAAGATTCTTCAGAACATATCTTTAGCATTAAGCTACCAAAAAAATCTTTTTAATTTCAAAATTAATAAGCAAATAGCCTCTTTGTCCAACTCTCATAAAACTGCAAACTTTGGCATTGGGGAAAACATTTTCATATCATTTTTGTACTAGAACTTCAGACATTCTTATTTTTGAAAGACAAGGACTGAAGTGGATGGTAATGACAGCTACTAAATGTCTCCAATATCAATTTCCTTCACAGAACCGCATACAACAACAGTAATCCCCATACAACTCCGAGCCCTAGTTTAAAAATGTCCCTGTAAGGTAACGCCATGTCACAATTAAAGCAGTGAGCTCCACACAGTTTCTCTCCAAAGCCTGTAGCAATTTTAAATTAACTTCAACCTTTTTTCAAGATAAGGTGACTCCCTGTGTCTACTCTTTCTTGGCTAAAGACCATTTCTGATTAGTTTCCTATAACTAAATGAAAGCTAATACATTTGTCTGCTCCAGCTGCCATAACAAAATACCATAGACTGTGTGGCTTACACAACAGAAATTTATTTCTCACAGTTCTGGAAACTGGAGAGACAAGATCAAGGTGCCGGCAGAGTGTGTTTCATTCTGAGACCTCTTCTCTTGACTTGTCGGTGGCCACCAGCTCTCTGTGCTCACATGAACTCTTTTTTTGTAAGCAGGAGAGAGTGAACTCTGGTTTCTCTTCCTCTTCTTTTAATGATACTAGTTCTATTGGATGAGGAATCCACCCTTATGATGCCATTTCACCTCAATTACTTCCATAAAGGACCTACCTCCAAATACAGTAACATTGGGAGTTAGGGCTTTAACATATTAATTTGGGGGGAACACACACATTCAGTTCATAGCCACTAGTATCAGCCTTTTAACTGGGAAGTTGCTGGCAGATTTATCAACTGTGTCCAGATCCACAAAGTAAAATGAAGTTAAAGATGAATGTCAAAGAATTGAAGCCCCCCTAAAGCTCTTTTCAACTGTTAGAGCTAACACAAAAATATTTATTTGCCTACTTATCCCCAAATTGACTCAAACCTAGAATTAAACTAAACGATAATAACATGAAACTTCTTTGAGAGTTCTCCTTAGATACTGGGAGAAGGAGACTATGTATATGTTACAGAGGAGAAATACAACAACAATACAATAAAGTTTCACTCTTGTTTTTTGGTCTTTGCTGTACTTATGTTTTTAAAGTAATACTCCCAAAACTAGTGGGCAAAATTTTAACTAACAGCTCCGTTTCTGACATTAGCTCATGAAGAGAACTTATACTTTGAACACATGGAGTTCTGGGCAGGAAAAAATATATATATTCACTATTGTAAGGTCAGAGCATCATTGCACAGATCATTTATTTTTTTTAAGTACTTGCAACTGTCATTTTTAAAACCCACAATTCTCACCAACAGAACATTTGAAATAGTATACTCCAGCATTTCAGGGAGGTCAAATTTCTTTCCTACAACTTTTAGAGGCACCTTTTGAAACTTTCCAGTTAAGATTTTCAAAAATCTGTACCAAATAATAGCCCCAGAGGAAAGTATATAATACAGCTGTCAGTGAGCTTGACTTTCGTCATAAAATGGAAACATTGCCGAGCATTTTCTCCTTTAGCCAGAAATTCACATGGGGCTTTGGAGCAGCTGCCCTATAATAACTATTCAGAAAAAAAGATACCTGAATCAATTAGTTCTCATCCTAATCTTTCTGACTTTCAAGTCAGATGAAAGGATAATCATTTTTATATATTTATTTATGAAACTAGTTCTATTTTTTCAAATATATAGGTATAAAGGGGGATTATTGATCTTTCGTAGCATTATTTTAAAAAGCAAAGATTAAGGCCGGGCGTGGTGGCTCACACTTGTAATCCCAGCACTTTGGGAGGCTGCGGTGGGCAGATCACCTGAGGTCGGGAATTCAAGACCAGCCTGACCAACATGGAGAAACCCTATCTCTACTAAAAATACAAAATTAGCCAGGGATGGTGGTGCATGCCTGTAATCCCAGCTAGTCGGGAGGCTGAGGCAAGAGAATCACTTGAACCTGGGAGGCAGAGGTTGTGGTGAGCTGAGATCACCCCACTGCACTCCAGCCTGGGCAATAAGCGTGAAACTCCATCTCAAAAGAAAAAAAAAAAGCAAATATTGGCAAATTTCAAGTTAGTTCTTTTTCTCCCTATATGTGAAAAAAAATGAACTAACATAAGCATTCATTAATTTATTCAACTAACCTTTATTGATCCTCTATTACATGTTATGTACTATGTTGAGCCTTGGGGCAAAATAGAAAAATAAATGCTTTTTCTATTCTATAAATGGGCAAATAGATGTCGAGGGTGAGCTAAGGGCTCACTACATAACAGAATTAGGGCTGCTCTATATAATAGAGGCAAGCAACCCAAGTCATCAATGAGCCTAAACTCTTCGTTTCTCTTGCATTCCTCTTGCTTAAAAACTGTGATTTTTTTTTTATTCAATGCTTTCCAAAAAGGAAAGACAGAGAAAGAAGATATTTCCACTGCCCTTTTCTTTCTGTATACAGAAATGAGAGCTTGCTCTAACTTTGGATTCTACTCTTCCCTCACCCACCCAAAAAGCAGAATGGAGAAGGATAACGAATTATTATTATTATTATTTTTTTTTTTTTTTGAGACAGAGTCTCACTCTGTCACCCAGCCTGGAGTGCAGTGGCGCGATCTCGGCTCACTGCAAGCTCCGCCTCCCGGGTTCACGCCATTCTCCTGCCTCAGCCTCCCGAGTAGCTGGGACTACAGGCGCCCGCTACCACACCTAGCTAATTTTTTTGTATTTTTAGTAGAGACGGGGTTTCACTGTGTTAGCCAGGATGGTCTCGATCTCCTGACCTCGTGATCCACCCGCCTCGGCCTCCCAAAGTGCTGGGATTACAGATGTGAGCCACCGCGCCCGGCCCCAGGATAATGAATTATTAAGAAATAAATGATAAATAACTGGGGAAATGTTTTCAGTTACTCTAACAAAAGAGAACTCCAAATAATTAATTTTAGAATCTATCATTCCTATGCTTCATCTTTTTCACTCTGAAAAAAAGGAGGGAGGGTGAAGCGGAGATCATTCTTAGTAGCTGTTAAGTGTATTTAACAGAATTGTGAGGGAAAGATAGTGTTCATAAAATTTCAACCATGAAATGTGTGTAAAGTCCAACGATGCTAAGTTTTTTGTCATGTCTGGTAGTTATAGAAATACTTTAACTTCTATAAGTACTTGGCCAGTTGACCATTTTGCTCTCTGTTGGTGACGGTAAAGGAGAAGGCTGCGTCTCAAATATATTAGGGGCTCAATTAATGGTCGTTGAAGCTGAAAGGATGACTTCGCATTTGGGGACTTCGCATGCATAATAATAGGTGCTCAATACAGTACCTACTAAATAATTGATGAGGTCTCTCTAAAGACTCTATGTCTCTTGATGATGAGACCTAGGGATTAACAGAACATCAGAGTCTCTCATTCAAACATGGTGTGTCCAATATCACTGCAAAGAAATCTCACTCATGCATAACCTGAGAGGTTTGAAGGGAGAATAAAGATGAACAAAACCTGACCCACTCCCCACCACCCCCATTGCAGCCAGGAGATCTGCACATGGCTTCGTGTGGTCCTCTCATCTGGACTCGCATAAACAGCCTCCTTCCTGGTTTCTGACTCCTGGCCATGCCTATCAAACCCATTCCTCGCAGAGCCCCCAAACGTTCTCTGCAGAATGGAATTCTCTGATTACTTTACACCTTGCTTAAAATTCTTCAGTAAACCCTGAGAACCAAAGTTCAAATCTTGTAATGGGTTACGTGAGGCTCACCCTGATCTGGCTCTTACTGCTTCTCTATGCTTTTGTTTGGTTGGTTGGTTTTGGTTTGGTTTGGTTGTTTTTTTGGTGGGCATAGAGGGCTTTTTGCTTTTGCCATGAGGTTTCAGCAACACTGAGCTGTTTCTAGTTCTTGCTGTCTCCCGATCATTCCTCACTAAGCTGACCTGGACTTAGCAGGCCTCTCCTCTTTCTCTTCTTCACTTTTAAGCCTTTGCTCTGGTGTCTCCTCCTCTAGCAAGCCTAAGACCTGACTTAGGTATCTCCCTTTCTGACTCCCTCAGTTGCTCAGACTATCTTAGCCCTGATTTCCAAGTCATTCTATCATTATTTGGCTCTCTTACTGATCCTCAGCACTTCTGTGTCTTAGTCATCCCCGTTTCCCTATCAGATTGGCACAGTGTGGCACACAGTAAGTACTCAGAGATTTTGAATGAATGAATCCTCAATGGCTGCTCTACAAGGGGGAAAGTTGCAGCAGCCAAGTTAAGAGTTAATGGCCTAAAACAGCCTCGATGACCTCTTTTCTACTTCGCCCCATCCACTACTCTTAGGAGATCTGTGAGGGTAAAGAAGGTGCCCTTGGGCCCCAGAGGGACATTGAAACTTCTTACCTGAGCATAGTAAAGCAGAGAACTTAGGAGGCTGACGTTTTCCCTAAACTATCTCTCAAAAATCAAGCCCAGTATATGCCAACAGAAGTTCTCAACTCTACCACTACCACCATCGCCAAGTTCCTAACGGCAGAAGAGCGTGCACTCATTCCTAGGATACTACAAGCTCAGAGTATCTTTAACATGTAGGGTTTTCTCTCTTAAATTCATGAAAATTTCTCAATCCTTCCATAAAATGAAACAGATTTTTATAAATCACTTACCAGTGAAAGGACCTAATTCCCCTATCCATAGGTACATATCTTAATTAGTAAAACTGAGATTCCAGAAGGCACCCCATATTTCTTCTATAACTTCCCATCCTTTTCCAAATCCCCCCGAGGTGCCTCCTTAAGAAGTATGGGATATAACATGGCTCCTCTAGATATACTGTATACCTAAAACCAAAATATTGGTCATAATTCATTGAAAAAATCTAAAATTTGAAAGGAGGTATAAAACAAAGGGAAGGGGCCTTGTTTCCAATATAAAAGCTACATAAAACTTCACACTTATATACCTAATGACTCTAGAGTGATTTCACACCACCCCCACCAATTCCTAAAAAGCTTCCAGTGAATCCCACTGTTTCCATAGTTCCTCAAGAAGGAAAAAGTACCTCCTGGTCATTTCTCTCTTGGCATCACTTCATACAAAAAAAGCTGGACTCAAATATATTTGCATATATGTAAAAAGACATTCAGTACAGCACTCTTTGGAGTAGAAAAAAAATACCCGGAATTTTAAATGCCTATCAATAAAGGACTTACAAAATAAACGACAGCACATCTAGACAATGGCGTGTCATGTAGAATATCATGTAGCTATCAAACAAAATGAGGTAGATCATTGCCACATGTTCATGCATTGCAGTAGCTCCAGGATATGTAGTTAACAAACAGAAAGCAAGACACAGAACAGGTGTGATTTCTACAGAAAAGATAAAAAAAAAAAAAAGGGAGGCCTCTAGGAAAAACTAGCGGTTACTGGAGGAGGGTTAATCTGTATTACATTTTCAAAAAATAATGTGTCTACACACACACACTTTTAAAACAAAAGCTATCCAGAGGAAGTACAGGCAAAAGGAAAGAGGAAGGGTGAAGCCTGGCTCACTCTACCCGCCTGACTCATGGCTTCCGGTGCCATAACCCAGACGACTTGTTTCTGTGATTTCTCAATCTTAGCAGCACTGTGCCTTCTTTAGAGAGGAGGAACATCAACCACTAGAGATGAGGCAGTAAAGTGCCCCCACATCAAAAAATGCAGCTCCTCTTTCCCAACATTTTTTAGAACCTTCTCATGAACTGTACTTTTAAGTAAAGCACATCTCGAAGCTTCTATTTCCCTGTCCCTATACACAGCAAGTGGCATATGCTGCAGAGAAGTCAAAGAAAATGTTTGTGAAAAACATTTCTTCCATATTAAGTACCAGACCGCCTGGGCATTCTTGACAATAAACTCTGGGGAAAGAAGCTATTTGTGCTTGGTCCTGCTGGCCGGTTCCTTGGTGAAGAGTTCTGATGGCATAATGCTCAGCAGTAGTCCCACAATAATTTGGGAAGTGTTGCCAGTATTTAGAGAACCCCGTAAATGAAATTAGACCAGTGTTCAAGCCAATCCATGCCAAGGAGCCAAGAGGAATAATTAAAGGAGTGAATGTTTTATTCTTTAGTGTTTAATTGAATACATAACAAGTCACATAATCAATGATTCATTACTTCACACACAGGAAGGAAAACAGTAGCTAGTATTTCTGTTATACAACTGGTTGTGAACAGGAAGAACAAAAATCTTTATAGCATTAGATGGTTGAAGAAATTCTCAAAGTTTGGGCATGTCTGAAAAGACTTTGACTGCATCTTTTTTCAATATAAAGGGATTTTTTTCTTACATTTCTGTGTCATTAGAAAAATCTGATAATCTTATAAGATTTTTTCTGCTCTTCTTACATTTAGAGAAAATGGTTTAATGATATGTACTATTTAAAAAATCAGAATCCCAGATAACTCTGTGTGAATCTTACATTGTCTAGCAGATAAGGTTTTCAGATGCCTGGAAAAATTTAAACAACATATAATTTACATCTTCAAAATTAACATCCAGATGGATGTTTTAATCCTTTGTCACTAAATGGTTACTAACGCTGTTTGAGTGGTCATAAATGAATTGTCATTTGTATTCAATAGTAATAGCAAAATTTACCTGCCTATAAAGTCGCAAAAACAGTTGTATAATAGTTTACATTACAATTAATGTACCCATACCTCAAAACACATTTAGAATTTAAAAAAACTGGCTTGGAAAAAAATCACAAAAAATTTAAGTGACAACAAATCTTGATTAACTAGTCCATCTTCCTACCACACATGATTATACTCTAATGTAGATATTCTGGTTGAATTTCTTCCAACCAAGTTTGAAGGGCCCCAGTAGAAAATCAAGTGTTAATACTTTCAGATTTTTATTGTCCAAAACTGTTGACAAAGAAAAGCTAACTTCAACATAACTTGTTTCTGGCTATACAAAGACCTATTTCAGGTGCTACAGATACTGAAAATAGGAGTATTTTACTTATTTCTCAAGAGACAGACTTATGCCATCTAAGAAAATGAATTCAGTTTTTAAATGATTTATAGTAAGGAAAAACAGGAAAACAATTCCAAACGAAGGATTGACTCTGATAGGCTTACAACAAAAATATTCAGTTTACTATTTTAAAAACTAAATTGAGTAAAGTATTTGTGATTTAGACTATAAAATAAATTCTCAAGGAATTCAACCCCTCCAGTCAATACTTTTTCTTAATGTCTGCATTGTAATTTAGCATTTTGCATGTGGGAGTACACAAATGAATTGAATATTGGATCAGAATTTACCCTAACTTGAAGAGTAAAAAGTTATCAAAGTTTCACCTTACATGGCTTTATTGAAATAACATTCCATCGAAAATTCCAATAAAAATTGGAATATATTATGAGCACTGCCAATTGCTCATTTTGTCTGATATTAACAGATTATGCATTTCCTCAGAGAAGCAGTAGGTCCCATATATACAGACATATATATGGCTCTGGTTTGAAAGAGAAGACAATTTTGTCTAGTATTATGATTTATCACTGTGCTATCAATCAAAAACCAGTAGAATACATAACAACATTGAAAGGGAAAAATTTTTAAATCTCACATCTTCAAGGAATATTTTCTACAGCATATCATTTGAAAAAGTAGAATGAATACTGTTCATGGTCCACATGTATTAAAAAACATGTCAATTACTTGGTGCAAACACACAGAACCTGGTACCTGTTTTTTTTTTTTTTTTAACCACCATTGTCTACACCTTTTTAAAAATTAAGTTTGTTACTAAAAGTCCAATGTCATTCACTTGTATTTATGATCATCAAATGGTAATTAGGGCAACATATGTAAATGCATGCCTCTGAATCAGATTCATGCAGTGTTAATTATCTGAATAATTTATGACATTCTCCCAGGTTATTTGAATGGTATCTTTGGAGGGCTTACTCAAATGAACCCACAATACCTCCACTATTACAGCTTATAGGAAATTACAATCCACTTTACAGGCCTCAAAGGTTCATTCTGTGGCCCAAAGCCCATGGAGGGGAAGGGATCTAAAGGTGCTCATGTCAAGTTATTTTACTTGTTTTTTACTGTCTACCCAATGTAAAATGAATTTTCTTCACAGCCTTTACTTTAGGCTAAAAATAGACAGTTTTCTTGTATTGACTTTAACTTTAGAGGGGACAGTCGTCCCTGGAAAAAGAAGTAGATTTACTGTCCCTAACCATTAAATTCCCAGTCTTTCAAATAATGTGCGGGGCGGGGGGTGCTGGGTGTGACAGGGTGCAGTGAATAAGATGCCTATGTACAAGACAGTGGAATAGTTCACCTCAAAGGTTTACAAGATAACATTTGTAAGACTTGAGTGACAGAGGCAAAATTTTAGCAGTTTCTCAAGACTCTTGGAGTTGAGCAGATTTGAGAAGGGAAATCAGAATCGCCGAGCCTTGCCATCTGTCAGTGGTTTTGGTCTGTCCCAAGATGTTCTCAATCATGTGCTTCCTGTTGAACAATCTAACAAAATACCATACGGGGTAGAGAAATCTCTGCAACACTGACTTTTGGTCAGTGAATCAGAGTCCTAAATTATTTCAGGCTTCAAACAGATGAATTCTGATGCATTACTTAGTCTGAGACCAAACTCAACATACAAGCAAGCACAACTTCCTAGATTTCTGCTTCCATTTCGCCTAAAATTACAGGCTTTGTATATGAAGTCAATTTTACTTCTCAAAAAATGTTAGTCTAATAAAAGACCTGAAATCTATTTCCCAACTAAAAAAAAATTAGTGGATTAAAAATACAGGTACCTTGACTTTAAGTAGACAGTTAATCAACATATGATTAGTAATACAACTAATACTCAAGAAAAAAAGTATAATACAGCAAACTCAGTTTTACAATTATGTATTTTTTCCTAACCCAATTCCTCGATAAGGATGTAAGAAACTCATCAAAACATGTTGCTTTAGTATATAAACCAGCTGATGCAAATTACTGGGGTAATATAGGAAATTTTATAGCATTAGTAAATGAATTAAAAAACTAAATGATTCATGTAAAATGTTTATATATGGTATATACAGCTTGGATCACATGAGTCTAAGAATAAAACTGTCGATTTGTAACATCTGTATGGACATAGTAAGATACAGTACGAGATTCATTTTTAAAAACAAGGAAAAATAGCACTAATTTAAACACTGAAAACAGCTCTTACAAAATCCTTAAAAACGTACATCAGAGAAAGATGCTGAAAACAAAACAAAATAGGCTTCTCTGTCATCACAGAATATCCAAAGGACACCTCACAGCATGGAGCATGACGAGGTTTATTTCCCTTCACTTATGGTTTACATAGGATATGCATTGGGAATTTATTCCATGTAAGAGTAAAGGCATAAGGCAACCAGGTCTCCTTCTGTTTCTGTTGCATTTACCTATTATTGGACCATTTTATTGCTCAGCTCACTTTTAAGTACTTATTTGCCTTCATTTAAAAATATTCCATTTTACAGCTATCTACAGATAGGCAGCCCTTGGTGCTGAGTTCTCTGCAGCTCGTCATTTGAAAGGATTCCACTTAACTTCAAACAAACTGCATGAAAGTGGCATTTTCAGGTTTTCAGGTTTGCCCAGAAGTCAACGTTTGCTGGGCTTGGAGAAAATAAGGATTTTTAATAAGTGATCTTAGGTCTAAGTAACCAAAATGAAACTTCTTTTGCGCAATAGATTCCAAAATCAGGATTTATAATCAACAAGAAAATAAAAGTTCAAAAACTAAAACCCTACTGGGTAACTCTTTGGTTAGATTATATATAAGCATTAACAACTCTAAGTTTAGGACTCAAAACAGTAAGTTAAGTAAACTGCCAGGTAAGAGTAGGTCTGTTATTAATCTTTATAAAATACTTGGCATGTTTGCATTTACTATATGATATTTTTTAAATGTGCATATACTCAAACAGATGGTACAAACTTCCAACTTTCAAATCATAAATGACTATGTCTGCTTCTCCCTTCCCACCCTTCCTACCCTTTCCTCCCTCCCCACCCCACCCCGCCCACCAAGTCTTACAGCTAAAGGAAGGTCCTACTGACATTCATTGAAAGAATACAGGCTTTCCTAATACCCACGACGTGCACTATGACCCAGCTCCCTACAGTCACTGCCAGGTGACCTCCTACGGCGCTTGGAGACCTGAGCAGCCTTGCACTCTTAGGCGGCAGCGTCCTTTCTCCCTCTTGCCAGTAACTGCTGCCATGTCAACCAGTGGAATCAAGGGCTTCTGGCGAGCAGCAGCTGAAAAGGGCGCCTCTGCAGGCAGGCGGATCACTTTCTATAAGTTTAAGCTACAGGCTGAGACCTTTTATTCTGTACGAGAAAGGATCCTTTACTGTCCCACGCACTAGATTCTTCTACTTTACGTGTAACTTTTCAAAACTTTATTAGTTTAGTTACTGAACTGCCTCCATGGGGTCCTAATTCCAGGCTCAGAATCTTCCATCCAGCCTTCTAAAACTCTACCTTCAAAAGAGGTCAAAAAGACTGTGTAATGACCTTGTAAAACACTAACCCCAGACAGTGGAACCAATCCTGATCTCTTAAACCCCCAGTGAGTCATAAGAGCTTGAGAAGATTTCAAGGAAATCTTCCGCACATTGGACACGGTCCAATCAGGTTCTGAACAATTCAATCATCCCCCGGTCTGTGGCCACACTCCCCCAATAGATCCAAACTGAAGTACCATCTGGGGGAGGGGTGGTTTGAGGCAGGGAGTAGAGAAAGCATGGAGTGGTAGGTGGGGGTGGGGTGGGGGTTCCTCTGGGTTCTCTCGGTTCAGGAGGTCCAAAGAAGACGAAGCAGCCCAGAGGATTTGCGGCTGCAGGTTCTGTAGTGGAGGGAAGGTGGGCGGACAGGTCTCACCCAGCTACTACTGGAGGGGGAGAATGGGAGGGCAGCAGCCAGGGGACAAAGGTGGGACAAGAGGCTCTGTAATCATCTCTCGGGCAGGAGAAGGACTGGGCGCTGGAGTGGCGAGGGGGTCTGGGGAGCTCACTCCCTGCAGAAGACGTACTCGGTGTAGCTGGTCCAGATCTTGTCCTCGCTCTGGTCGGTGCTGCTGGCAAAGGCGCAGGTGCCCGTGGAGCTGCACGCCACCATGTGGAAGCCCGACTCGGACAGCTTGTCGAAGGCCTGCTCCAGGAAGTTGAACTTGAGGTAATAGCGCGAGGTGTAGCGCTCCGGGGGACGGTCGGGGTCCCGGCTTTCGTTCAGGGTGTCCCCAAACACCTCCTTGGCCAGCGACGTCTTTCCGCAAACGGTGATGCGCGCCACTCGCCGGAACTTGGCGTCCGCCTGCGCGTCCCGCCCGATGGTGTAGGAGCCGCGGTAGCCGATGGTGATGTAGCCCGAGCGCCGGCTGCCGTCCAGCGACTGGGACGGCGTGAGCAGCGGGCCCGCCGCGCCCCCGGACGGACTGCGGCTAGCCAGCTCCAGCGTGGGCGACGGCGCCCCGGCAGAGGCGCCCTCCTGCTGTTCGGGCTCCGAGTAGCCAAGCGGCAGCAGCTCGTCACCCAGCGAGCCCTCCTTGTGCACCCCGCGCCGCGAGGGCGGCGGCCCCGGGCCGGGCTGCTGGGGCGCCCCGAGGCGGCGCACGAGCTCTGGCAGCTCGAAGTACTCGGCCTCGCGCTGCAGCCGGCTGCGCTCGGGGAAGTAGTCGGGCAGCACGAGCTGCAAGTCCCGCAGGTAATCCAGGATGTAGCGGAAGAGGAAGCCGTCCCGGTCCAGAAAGAAGCGGCCTTTGCTGTCCCGGGCCAGCTCCTGCGGCTGCTGCTGCGTGAACATGCGCCAGAGCAGCGAGTCGGGCACCGACACCACCGTGCAGCGCCGGGTCACGTACACCTGGCCCCCCACGTTCAGCTCCACGATGTCGGGGAAGAGCGGTGGCTCCGCGGAGGACGACGAGGAGCCACTGCCGCCCCCGCCGCCGCCCCCGTTGGGTAATCCACGTGTGCTGTCCGCCAGAGCCATGACAGAGAGGTGGCCGGGCCGGGACAGTGGCAGGAAGCCGCGCTGCACTCAGGAGCTGCAACCGCCTTCCCCGGAGCCCCGGAACCCGGACGCTCGCTCAGCCCTGCGCCCCGCCGCCGCCGCCGCCGCCACCGCCGCCACCGCCACCGCCGCCACCTCCTAGAGCCGCGCGGAGCCGAGCGGTGCGAGCGCGCCGCTGTGCGCCCCCTTGAGTTCCAGTGCGCTCCGCCCGCCTTGCCCGCGCGCTCCAGGCGAGTGCCGGGTCGCGGCCCGCGCGCTGCTTAAGTAGAGCCGCCTGCTCTGGTGCCGTGGCGCGCAGGAGGCGTGGGCGGCGGCGGAGCCTCGCTTACCGGGCGAGGGGAGGTGGGGAGCGGGGACTCGATTTGCATCTTAAACGCGGACGCCACGCGGGGCTGCTGGCTCCACCCCGGCTCGCGAGCGCTGGGGGCGCCCGGACTCCCACCCGCTCCCCACCCACCAGCCCCGCCCCGTGGTCCCGCCCAACTTTCTCCCTCTTCCGAAGAGGACCCGCCCGAGACTTGGCGGCTTCGGAAGACAGCTCCTTGGAGGGACAGTCACCGCGCCCCCTCCCCTCTCGCCCCAGCCCGCACCCAAGGACTCTGGAAGGAGGACGTGAACTTTCGGAAGCCTGTCGCCCCGGGAGTGGAAATGCGTGGCCGCCTCCGGCCCTCCCGCCTGCGGAACTGGGCGCTTCCAGCAGTGCAGCTGCGGCCTGCCATCGTTGGTTGTCGTGTCACTGAAAGTAGAGAGACGCGAAAAACCTGGAGAGACGAAAGAGCCGCCCCAGTCCGAGCGCAGCCAGATTTTGTTCAAGTTGCCTTGCAGCCAGCCTGGAAAATAAATAAATAAACCTAGAAACAAAAAGCAAACCTCAGTGTCCCGCAGTAGGATGCTTTACGATAGTTTATTTTCTGGCTGCAGAGACAAAATGAGATGAAGCTTCAAATCTGCTCTTAATTGCAATTCCCTCTTCCCGCAGGGCCTTCGAGGCACTTCACTTCGAAGTGAAGGGGTAAGACTCCGGAACGTTCGGTCTCCGGGTCCCATTCAGCCTTCGTTGAATCGCGCCCTTAGACTCACAACAGTTGCAGATCTAACGTAATTTTTAAAGCCACCTTTGGCGCCTGCATGTTTATCCTTCCAAAAGTCCAGGCGCCCCTTCTCTCCCGCATGCCTCGGTCACTCTTCGGCCCTGTCCAAGTTCCCGTCAGTCTCAGAAAGGGATATTTATATATCTGAAGGCCCTTGTCTGGATCCCATCTCTCAACTCCTGCTGCCTACACGTTTGCTTTTCCCCCTCGGACTGCAGCCCACAGAACCGCCCCCTCCCCCTGGAAGCTTTCCCTGGCTTCCCAGGTGGGTGGGGCCTCTGGATGGCTCCCTACACACTGTCTGCGCTGCTCCCAGCACGTTCTGAAATGTCATATTTATGAGTGATTATCTGATCACTGATTTGGGTATGAAAATAAGTAAGAGCTCCTGAATGCTGCAAAAAGAGAAGAGTGCAGAGGAGGGTGTCAAGAAATGATTGGGTCACTGAATGTTTCTTGTGTACCTGCTATTATTTGCAGGGCACCAGGGAGTGAGGAATGCAAAGGCGAATAATCTCCAAAGCGCTTTCAGTGTAGCCCAATAAGCAAAGGGTCAGGGGTCTGCGCAGTTATCACATCAGTTTGAAGTATAGACCACACATCAGGATAAATCAGGCAAGATCTTTGTTCTTGATAAAATTTATCCTTCTGTGTAACTACCCAGTGAGCTTCACAGTCTCCTCACAGATAAATGTCATTTTTATTTTGAAATGTTTATATCTGCTCAACAATTACCGCGCTCATGTCAGTGTGCTGAAATGAGATCAACCCCCAAACCAGTTATCTTAATTGCAAGTACAGATTTTGATACTGAATGTATTTCAACATTCTTTTTTTGTTGTTGTTCTGTTCTTTGGGATAAATAATAGATAACACAAAACTTCCAAGTCCCAGTGCAGGATTTCGAGGTGGTTGTGCTACTAGGCGTTATATTAGTGTCAGAGACCTGACAAAACCAGCCTCTTTTCTACAAATCCAAGAAAAGCCTTCTTTGTATCAGTTCTGCACATATTTTTGTATAATTACCATTGCTCATTGCATCAGCAAATCCTGCCAGCTCTGTGTTAAAAATCTTTCTAGACTATTAACGTATTTCACCATCTCCCTATCATCACCCTGGACCAAGCCACCATCATCTCTTGCCTGGATTATTGCACTGGTCTCCTAACTGCTTCTACTTCTGCTCCTACAGTCTTGTATCACCAGAACAAAAACAGGGACCCTGCTTATAATCCAAGGCTGGTATGTCACTCTGCTCAGAGCCTGCCAGTGGCTTCCTATCTCAGAAAGAGCAAAATCCAAAGTCCTCTCAGTGGCTTACAAGACTCTACATGTTTGGAGTTATCCCACCAGCACCTCTCTGACACATCTCCTGCCCTGCCCCCAGGAGCTGGCTGGCTTTAGCCACATAGCCCCTTTCTTGTTTTCTCAGGGCCTTTGCACATCCTTGTAAAAGTCTCATTTCTCCTCCCTCCCGTGTTCCTCACCTTGTTCAGGTCCCTCCCTTCTCACCTTCTTCAGGTCTGCCCAGCAAGACCTTTCCTTGATTCCACTTCTTAATGCAGCACAGCCTCACTGCAGCTTCCTCTTCCTTGCCTTATTTGTTGACTCTTTTCCTACATCAGAATATAAACTCCAAGACTTCAGCAGTTTTTGTCTGCTTGGTTCACTGCCACACCCCCACTGCCTAGAACAGAGCTGGTATATTACAGGCATTTGATAAATATCTGTTGCTCACGCAAGCATTCAACCACTATTTATTCAGGGCCTACTACTATATTCCAGGCTGCATGTTAAAAAATAATCACTGCCCACTAGGAGCTTATAGTCTTGCGAGGGAGACAAATAAATATAGTATAAAGATAAGTAAGCCTATTTCAGGTGGTGATAAATGCCACAAAGAAAATAAAATTATAAGATGTGATAGAGGGACTGAGTGTGGAATACTACTTTATACAGAGTGCCTGGGGAAGGCATCTCTGTGAATGTGACATTTGAGCTGAATAATAAGAAAGAGACAGCCATGGGAAGTTTTGGAGGAAGAGCATTCCAGGCACAGGGTCAAACAAGTTAAAGGGGCCTGAGTTATGAGTGAGCTCACATTGAAAGTTTATGTATTGTGTCATCTACTTGTATCCTGTGAATCTCCAAAGTACCCTTGAGATGATCAGTACAGAGTCAAATGTGAGTGATACCGTGTGCTTATTCACTACCTGCAGCCTACTATCATCATTCTCTACATCTTGACATAAGGTAGTCATCAACCACCAGCTAGTCTACTGCAGAAAAGCCATTGGTATTTCCTTATGGAAGCCAGGTAATGCATGAGAGATATAATAATGAATGAAACAGGTGATTTGAAACACAAGGAATGTTTTTCTAGTTAATTTTGTGTGTTCTGTTTCTTGCCTATTGGTTGGTATCACAGAATTCAAAAGGAAATACTACTGGGGAACTCTGATGCTGGGACTTGAGGGCCTGAGTGTTTATAAGAAGAGAGTCATAACTCTTTAGCATCTCCAGTATGTTAAATATGCTTGATTGCAAGGGATTGGGGAGGATTTGGAAACCCACTAGCCCTGTGTTTAGTCTCAAACCAGTTTCTAATGATGGTCATTGCTAATTGATGGTCATTGCTCCTTTTCAAGTAACTCTTTGTATTTTCCTGAATAAGATACAGTGTGCCTGCAAGTAACCTGTCCTTTGATCCTAAAGTGGAGGATACTGGAAACATCTCTGGACCTACATTCTCATCTCATTTGCATCTTCTCCCCCACCTACTGCCTTCTCTTCAAACCAGCTTCCCCTCCCACTCCCCACAGTAATCCTTCTTATCCAAAGTTTCCATTACCATGGTTTCAGTTACCCATGGTCAGCTGTGGTTTGAAAATATTACATGGAAATTCCAGAAATATAACTAATTCATAAATTCAAAATTGCACACCATTCAGAGTAGTGTGATGAAATCTCCCACTGTCCTGCTTCGTCTTGCCCTGGACATGAATATCCACACCTCTACACTCCCAACCCATGAGTCACTTAGTAGCCATCTCAGCTGTCAGATCAACTGTCTTAGTATCACCCTATCACAGTGCTTGTGTTCAAGTAACACTCAGTTTACTTAATAAATGGCCACAAATTACAAGAGTAGTGATGCTGGCAATTCAGATATGCCAAAGAGAAGCCATAAAATGCTGCCTTTAAGTGAAAAGGTGAAAGTTCTCAATTTAATAAGAAAAAAAAAGTTACATCCCAAGGTTGCTAAGATCTATGATAAGAATGTAGACATTGTGAAATTTCTGTGAAATTATGAAGGAAAAATTTGTGCTAGTTTTGCTGTCACACCTCCAAACACAAAACGTATGGCACAGAGTGCATGATAAGTGTGTAGTGAAAATGGAAAAGGCATTAAACTTGTGGATTGAAGACATGAAGAGAAACATGTTCCAATGGACAGCAATCAGGTTCAGTACTACCTACGGTTTCAGTCACCCACTGAGGGTCTTGGAATGTATACCCTTTGTATGAAAGGAGACTACTGTATTCTGCATACCAAAGATTTAAGGAAAGGAATGAGGAACATGAAGAGAAATATAAAGTTAAAGGGGAGGAAGAACTGGTGAAATGAAGTGAGTGCCTTTGAGAATTGAATGAATTTAATATATGTGAAAATGATCTGTACATTGTAAAACACCATTCAAGTGTCAGAATCATTATTTTCCACCACTTATCATGGTGCTTGACAAGTCTTCCCAATAAATACTGAATGAACAAATGAATGGCAGAAACATTAAAATGAACACTATGGGGAAAGGGGAAGAGAGGCAGAATCAGAAATTATCCTGAATAAATATTTATTCCATTTGTCATCCTCCTAATATGTGTGAATCTTTTCTCCATGCAGGCTTTAGAAGTCATTGACTTTTTGCATTTAGAAGGAGAGATTAATTGAATAACATTAAGTGAATCCGGAGGCAAAATGATCTTAATAAAGATTTGGTAAAAGATGTGACAATATTTAACCTGAAGAAAAGAGAACAAAATGTTATATAGGGTACACTGCCAAAATACTAGGTCTAAATTCCAGTTACTCAGGAGGCTGAGGCAGGAGAATTGCTTGAACCTGAGAGGCAGAGGTTGCAGTGAGCCAAGGTCGCACCACTGCACTCCAGCCTAGGCAACAGAGCGAGACCCCATCTCAAAAAACAAAACAAACAAAAAAAAAAAACAGGTCTAGACAGTAAAGAATATCCCAACATTGTATGATTATCTCTAGAGTATGATTTTTATGATTTATAGAACCAAACAAAGAAACAAAAGTTAACAATGTTGATATTTCTATACCCTTAAGATGGTGTTTGGAGCTTATCCAGGAAACAAATAATATAACAAGCATGTATAGAGTACTTACTATGAGCCAGCCCTATTTATAGAACTATACATGTATGAACTCATTTAATCCTAACAATAACTTTATGAGGTTGGTGCTATTACCCAAGTTTTAGATGAGAAACTGAGGCACAGTGAACTAATTTTCCCAAGATCATACAGCAAATAGGTGCTGGAGCTGGGATTTGAACCCAGGCAGTGTAGCCTTAGAATCTGTGCTTTTAAACACTGCATTTTAAATCCCCTTTCCTCTAGGAGTGCTTTACATGTATTAAGAAGTAAGTTATATTATTTTCCCCCTTTACAGATGAGAAACCCAAGGCAAAGAGAAGTAAGGTAACTTGACCAAGATAACACAGCTCTTTATCTCTGCTGGGGGCAGAAATGCTACTCTAAAGTCTACGTGCTTGTGTTCCGCAGTACTGGTAACCAGAAACTCAAAGTAGCCACCCTGAAAGAACTAGGGTTAAGAAAGAGTCAAGTCCTTGGCCCTTATTTCTTCTTTCTGCCTTCTTTTTTCCTTCCAACCTATTTTAGGTTTATGGGTACCTGTGCAGGTTTGTTACACAGGTAAATTGCACGTCGCAGGGGTTTGGTGTACAGATTATTTCATCACCAAAGTAATAAGCATAGTACCTGATAGGTAGTTTTTGGATTCTCACCTTCCATCCAACCTCTACCCTCAAGTAGGCTCCAATGTCTATTGTTCCCTTCCTTGTATCCATGTGTACTTTTACCCAAATAAGAATCTCTATTTGAGCCCCTGGATAGAACTGACACACTATTGTCCTAATCTTTCCCTAATTCAGTCCTGTACACAAAATAAACAAGATTTTATTTCTGGCTCTCTCAAATATCATTACGGTTTGCAAAGCACCAAGTTCCTAGCATGTTCATTTGGCTTTATTCTGATCTCATTAACTCTTGACAAGGATAAAGTGAATCCATGGAAACTGCTGAGATCTAGGTTCCAGTTTCCCAAAGCAAGCAGTATCCACTGGTCTTCTGGGGCTCATAAAATTGAACAAGTGCATTCTACTTGTGGCTTTGCATATCAAACTGAACACAAAAATAGCTGGCCCTCATCACTTGAGTGATTCTGGAACTTCTGACTAAGACTAATTATTAACATCACTGATGTTTCATAAGAATTTGAAAGTCTTGGTTTCCAATCATGATATTAAATTTAGAGAGGAACTATATATAAGTTATCACATTCTAATCACATTCTAGTGTTTTTCTGTTTCGAGTGTTTTCATATTGTCAGGTTGACTTAATTATCACAATTTTGTGAGGTGTTAACCA